>NC_000009.12:106402370-106553885 GCF_000001405.40 Homo sapiens | reverse complement strand
TTAATTCACTTTGCTAGTATTTTATTGAGAATTTTTGCATCTGTTTTCATCAGGGATATTGGCCTGTAGTTTTCCTTTTATATCTTTTTATTGTGTTCTTGTCTGGCTCTGGTATCAATCAGGTGATGCTAGCTTCATAAAATACATTTGGAAGTGTTTCCTCTTCTTTTATTGTTTGGAAGAGGTTTTTCTTAGCTAGTTTTTATTGATGACTTCTTTTTGTTACTGTTTAGTAAAAGTTTGTTATTCTGAATGACTCCCTCATCATATCTTAATCTTATATTTATCTTTACCAATTCTGTAGTATGTCTTTTAATTAATAGATGTTATAATTTTTTCTATAGTCCAATTTGTCAATCTTTTCTTTTATGGTAATGCCATTTGTGTTTAATTTTAAAAATCATTACCTATCCCAAGTTCATAAAAATATTTATTCTGTTATATTGTAAAAGTTTTATTGCTTTAACTCTTGTATTAAGCTATCTAGATCTATCTAGATTTGATTTCTATGTATGTTGCAGTGCAGAAGTTTATATTTTCATAAAAACATAAAACTGATCTAGCGCCACTTATTGAGAAGATCATCCTTTTCCTTCGCTGTGGCATTTTAGTCATAGATAGTGAGATTGTTCTTGCATGGTGTTGTTTCTAGACTGTTTATTTTATTTTATTCACCTCTTTTCTAACCTTCATATCAATATATCTTACTCTAACTTTTTAAAGAAGCCTTGTTTTCTAAAGGTTTTCTTCTTAAAGATTATTTTTGCTATTCCAAGCTATTTGCATTTCTGAAGAAATTTTAGATAAATTTTGTCTATTTCCCCAAGCTTGCTGGATTTTGTTAAAAATAAGTTTCGTTGGTTCTTTTTTAACTGATGAGGAGGTTTTAAATTTTAGCAAATGTTTTCTCTGCATTATATGAAGTAAATGGTATGGCTTCTCTCACGGTGGTGACTTGCATGGATTGGTGTTTGTTGCACTGTCCTTCTATTCTTGAAACATATCCAATTGGACTGTGGTGTGCTTTTTTTATATATATATTTGCTAATATTTTTGTTATTTTAATAGAAATTTACTAGTGTTTTTACATGTATGCTCATAAATCCGTGATTTTACTTTTTTGGTAATGTTCTTATCAGATTTTATATCAGAATTATTCTGGATTTATAATATAACATAGAAGTATTTTCTCTTTTTCCTATTCTTCTGAAATTTTTTTTTGCGTTAAGATTGGTGTTGTTCCTTGAATATTTATAAAAATTATAGGTGAAGTTTCTTGGGCCTGGAGAATGTTCCATGGCAACGATTTTATTTGTAGATTCAATTTCTTTAATAAATGTATAGGTCAATTGGTTTTTAAAAATTCTTCTTGATTTAGTTTTGATAAGTAGTGTTGTTCCAGATATTCATTAATTTTATCTGATTTTCCAATTTATTAATAAAGTCTTTCATAATAGTCTTTTATTATCTGTTTAAGGTTCATGAAGACTATAATTATGTCCTCTTTTTATTTCCAATTGGTAATATATTCTTCCCTTCCTTTTTTTTAACTTCATTAATCTTATCAGGGTTTTATCAGTATTAGTAATTTTTTACAAAGAACCAGCGTTTAATTTGGTTAATTCTCTATTGCTTAATTTCTACTTTGCTGATTTCCCTACTCTAAAATTTATTTCATTTTACTTCTAGTTTTGATTTCTCTTCTTTCTCTAACTTCTAGAAATTGGTACTTAGATAATTGTTTGCAGCTTTTTTCTTTTCTAATATACTATAGGCATTTAAGATAATACATTTCTCTTGAAGAACAGCTTTGGCTATATCCCTTAAGTTCTGCTATATAGTTTTTTTAATTGTCAAGTAGTGAAAAGGATTTTCTAATTTTCATTGAGATTTCTTTATTGACTTTAACTTATTTTGAATAATATTGTTTAAAATGCAAATATTAGGGAATTTTCTAATTTTTTTGCTATTTGTTTTCTAGCACAATTCCATTTTAGTTTTGTAATCTTCTTCCACATTATTTCAATTCTTTGCAATTCATTGAGACTTTATAGCTCAGTATATGGTGGATTTTGGTAAATATTTCATGTGCTCTTAAAAGAAAGTACATTCTGGTCCGGCACAGTGGCTCACGCCTGTAATCCCAGCACTTTGGGAGGCTGAGGCGAGCAGATAACGAGGTCA
This sequence comes from Homo sapiens, assembly GCF_000001405.40. Classification (NCBI taxonomy): domain Eukaryota; kingdom Metazoa; phylum Chordata; class Mammalia; order Primates; family Hominidae; genus Homo; species Homo sapiens. Next base: position 106,551,701 of record NC_000009.12, on the reverse strand, counting down.
GGAGATCGACACCATCCTGTCTAACACGGTGAAACCCCGTCTCTACTAAAAATACAAAAACAAAATTAGCCGGGCATGGTGGTGAGCGCCTGTAGTCCCAGCTACTTGGGAGGCTGAGGCAGGAGAATGGCGTGAACCCAGGAGGCGGAGGTTGCAGTGAGCTGAGATTGTGCCACTGCACTCCAGCCTGGGCAACAGAGCAAGACTCCATCTCAAAAAAAAAAAAAAAGAAAAAAGAAAAAAAATAGAAAGTACATTCTATAGTTGGTGGTTGCTGCATTCTATATATGTCAATTAAGTCAAGTTTATTAATTTTGTTATTTGGATCTCATAATTGCTTACTCAATTTTTTGTCTGTTTCTTTAATCATGTATAAAGAGCAACAGGCCAAAATCTTAGCTCTGATTTTGATCTTCTATTTCTCCATTTTGTTCTGTCAGTTATTGTTGTATATCTTCTGAATCTATGTTATTGGGGCAAACAAGTTAAGAATTGTCAGTCTTCTTGGTGAATTTACCTTTTGATCTTTTTGAAGTAATCAATTCAATTTCTGGTAATGATTTTTGCTTTAAACACTTCATCTGTTGTTAAAGTGCTAATATTGTTAGGTTCATCTTTACATGGTTCACCTTTTCCCCCATCTTTTTACTTTTGAACTTTCTCTATTAAGAATTGTTTCTCTTAAGCATCATATAGTTTGATAATTTTTTCTTTTTGTTGAAATACTTAGCCTATTTTTATTTAGTACAATTATACATATACATATATATTTGAGGTTTGGTCTACAATCTTACTATTTGCTTTTTATTTGCTCCACTCACTTTGTATTTCTTTTTCTCGACTTTCTTTTCTTTTGGATTAGTCGAGTAATTTTTATTATTCTATTTTCCATTCTGTTAGCTTCTCAGTTATTACTATAGTTTGAGTACTTATCTTTAATTATACAACATTCATCCATCACTTATTATAGTCTCATATAATATAGATGAGGGTTTTGTTTTGTCTTTTACAATTTCCCAGGAAGTACAAGAATCTTCCAAGAGTTTAATTCCATTTGACCCACTTCTTTATGTTTCTTTTGTATGCTCTTCACACCTCATTTTTTTCTTGTATTTCTATCTGGGACAGTTTTTCTTCTATCTGAAGAACCTCCTTAAATATTTATTTCAGTACAAGTCTACTGGCAATGAATTCTCTTATATTTCGTCTGGAAATGTCTTTGTTTTCACTTACCTTTAATATTTCTATTGAAGTATACACATGTACAGCACCTGTATAACTCTAATGTATAACTGTATTTTGTTTTGCAAAATATACATCTATGTAATCACTAGTTTGATCAAGATATTGGGTATTACCTGCACCTTAGAAATCTCCCTCTTATACCTTCCCAGCTAATATTCATTCTAAAGGCAACCACCATTCTGATATCTATCACTATGGTTTTGATTGTTTTTAACTTCATTTAAGTGTATTCATACAGTATATATTTTCAGTGTCTACCTTCATTTGCTCAATATTATATCTCAGATTCATCCAAATTTTTGAGTATAGCAGTAACTTTTTATTTCACTGCTTTATTATAATTTACTGTGTGACTATGCCATATTTACTTCTTAATTCTAATCTTGATTGACACATATTTTCCTATTTTGTGACTATCAATTATGAATACAAACATTGTTGTACATGATTTTGGTGCACATGTAAGCACATTGCTCTCAAGTATATACCCAGAAATGACAATGCTGAGTCACAGTACATGCATATATTCCAGCTTTGGTAGATACTGTCAAACAGTTTTCCAAGTTATCAGTTTATTTTCCTATTTGTAGTGTATGGATGTTTCAGTTCCACATTCTTGCTAATATTTGCTGCTACCACCTTTTAAAAACAATTCAGCCACCCTTGTGGTTGCATACTGACATCTCATTGTAATTATAATTTGCATTTCCCAGATGACAGGTTATTTTAAATACTTTTCACATGTTTGTTGGCCACTTAAGAGCTTGTTCCAATTTCTGACCATTTTCATGTAACTGTATGTGTTCTCCCTTATTTGTAGAATATTAAAAATGTCCTGAATGGTATTGCCTAGGTTTTCTTCTAGGGTTTTTATGGTTTTAGGTCTAACATTTAAGTCTTTAATCCATCTTGAATTAATTTTTGTATAAGGTGTAAGGAAGGGATCCAGTTTCAGTTTTCTACATATGGCTAGCCAGTTTTCCCAGCACCAATACCATTCAGGACATAGGCATGGGCAAGGACTTCATGTCTAAAACACCAAAAGCAATGGCAACAAAAGCCAAAATTGACAAATGGGATCCAATTAAACTAAAGAGCTTCTGCACAGCAAAAGAAACTACCATAACAGGCAACCTACAGAATGGGAGAAAATTTTTGCAATCTACTCATCTGACAAAGGGCTAATATCCAGAATCTACAATGAACTCAAACAAATTTACAAGAAAAAACAAACAACCCCATCAACAAGTGGGCGAAGGATATGAACAGACACTTCTCAAAAGAAGACATTTATGCAGCCAAAAGACACATGAAAAAATGCTCATCATCACTGGCCATCAGAGAAATGCAAATCAAAACCACAATGAGATACCATCTCACACCAGTTAGAATGGCGATCATTAAAAAGTCAGGAAACAACAGGTGCTGGAGAGGATGTGGAGAAATAGGAACACTTTCACACTGTTGGTGGGACTGTAAACTAGTTCAACCATTGTGGAAGACAGTGTGGTGATTCCTCAGGGATCTAGAACTGGAAATACCATTTGACCCAGCCATCCCATTACTGGGTATATACCCAAAGGATTATAAAACATGCTGCTATAAAGACACATGCACACGTATGTTTATTGCGGCATTATTCACAATAGCAAAGACTTGGAACCAACCCAAATGTCCAACAATGATAGACTGGATTAAGAAAATGTGGCACATATTCACCGTGGAATACTATGCAGCCATAAAAAATGATGAGTTCACGTCCTTTGTAGGGACATGGATGAAGCTGGAAACCATCATTCTCAGCAAACTATCACAAGGACAAAAAACCAAACACCGTATGTTCTCACTCATAGATGGGAATTGAACAATGAGAACACATGGACACAGGAAGGGGAACATCACACACTGGGGCCTGTTGTGGGGTGGGGGTAGGGGGGAGGGATAGCATTAGGAGATATACCTAATGTTAAATGACGAGTTAATGGGTGCAGCACACCAACATGGCACATGTATATATATGTAACTAACCTGCACGTTGTGCACATGTACCCTAAAACTTAAAGTATAATTTTAAAAAGTCTATTCTGGAATATGATAATAAAAGTCATTCAGTTTGTATTTCATTTATTTACTTATGAAGGAGTTTTTTTCTAGGCATAGAATTCTGGTGGGCAGTAAATTTTCCTTCAGCTCTTATAGAAAGTTATTCCATTGCCTTTATGGCTCCCATTGTTTTGGTGGGAATTTAGTCGTAAATCTTGTTTGTTCATTTGAAGTTAATGTTGTTCTTTTCTCTTAAAAATCTTAAAAATGTATTTTGTATTTGTTCTTAGTTTTATGCTGATAGGCTGAAGTGTGTGTGTTTTATTTAAATGTTGCTATTCTTAGTGCTTCTTGAATGTGTGGTTTAATTCCTTTAGTGGGTTTTGGAAAATGTATTGACGTTATCTTTTCATTTCTATTTGATTCTTTTTCTACTCTCCTTCTGATAATTAATTTTAAAATATATTCAATATTTTTATCATGTTCCGTTTATCCCTTAGGCTAGTTTATGTGTTTTCTGTTTGTTTTGCTCTTTATAACTCTCTTGAATATTTTCTAATCATTCATTTTCTAGTTTATTAATCCTTTTGATTTTGTCCAGTCAACTTTTATTTTTTCTTATTTCATGTATTTTATTTATTTATTTATTTAGAGATGGATTTTTGCTCTTGTTGCCCAGGCTGGAGTGCAATGGCGTGATCTCGGCTCACCGCCACCTCCGCCTCCTGGGTTCAAGCGATTCTCCTGCCTTAGCCTCCCGAGTTGCTGGGATTACAGGCATGCGACACCACGCCCAGCTAATTTTGTATTTTTAGTAGAGACGGGTTTTCTCCATGTTGGTCAGGTTGGTCTCCAACTCCCAACCTCAGGTGATCCACCTGCCTCGGCCTCCCAAAATGTGAGCCACCATGCCTGGCCTAGTCAACTTTTAAATCAAGTTCTTAGTTTTCATTACCACATTATTTTTAGTTCTGGAATTGCTACTGAATTTTTTATAGATACAGTATTTTTGGTGAAATTCTCCATCTTGTCATCAATTTTCTTGAGCTATTAATTAGAGTTTCATGTCTGGTAAGTACAGTGAATTGACGGTGCATATCTCTTGTCTACTTTTTTTTGGTCCTGTTCCTTGATATAGCTGACATTTAAAAAATTGAATTCCAGGCCAGGCACAGTGGCGCAGGCCTGTAATTCCAGCACTTTGGGAGGCCAAGGCGGTTGGATCACGAGGTCAAGACATGGAGACCATCCTGGCCAACATGGTGAAACCCCGTCTCTACTAAGAATACAAAAATTAGCTGGGTGTGGTGGTACACACCTGTAGTTCCAGCTGCTCAGGAGGCTGAGACAGGAGAATCACTTGAACACGGGAGGCGGAGGTTGCAGTGAGCGGAGATCACTCCACTGCACTCAGCCTGGTGACAGAACAAGATTCTGTCTCAAAAAAAAAATCCAGTTATTTCACTTACAAAGAGGTAGATGTTCTAAATAAGTTTACATTGAACAGAGAAAGTTCATCACGCTTGGGACAATTCCTATGGGGTATATTACCGTAAATCCATCAAGGATTACATTTATCTAAAACTGGATTGCAATTTTTGTAAAGTTTGGTTGGTCTCTGGTTTAACCTGATTCCTAGGATATAGTTTTCCAGGGGAACCAATGGAGATTTGAAGATACATACTGGAACCTCTCTTTCTTTAAATGTCTTGAATTCAAAATTTTTGTTTCTTTAGCACTGTCAAGTTTTGCTTTGATTTTTTAGAGATTTTCCAGTTAGCTTATTTTATTCTGCCTTTGCCTAGCTTAAATAATTGGCAGGTGTCTTGATGTAAAAAAAAAAAAAAAAAAAGCAAAATATAAAGCTCACTTTTCTGCACCACTCTTCTAAGATATTTACTGATAAAATTCTGGCTGACTTGGAAGCCCCAATCTACAATTTTTGTACTTCCAGTCCTACAAAATTTCCGAAAGTGTTCCTCTGGTGGCCTCATTTGATTTGTTATCTGTTTTTTGGTGGGTTGGGGGGTTTGGAGGGGTGTTTCTCTTATGCCAAGAGTTGACAAATACCACAAGGAGAAAAGAAATACAAAGAATGCTAGCTTACTTCTCAGATTCTTCCCTGCTCAGGATATTGGCCTTTAAAGCCTAGATTAATAAACTTAACAAACTCACTGAAGCCTTCAAACAGACTTTTAAAAATATACAATCCATTTCCAATTGTTCTTTTTGGGACAGTTGGTCTGCCACAAGTTACTACATGATTTACCTGTGTTTTATTTGGTGTATTTAATGCCTATTTTCTTATGAGATTCATGGAGAGGTTGAGTATCCCTTATCCAAAATGCATGGGACCAGAAGTGTTTCATATTTCAGATATATTTTGGATTTTGGAATATTTGCATATACATAATAAAATATCTTGGAGACAGGGCCCAAGTTTAAGCACATAATTTTTTTCTGTTTCATATACACCTTATACACATAGCCTGAAAGAAATTTTATGCAATATTTTAAATAACATGCATGAAACAAAATTTTGACTGCCTTTAGACTGGAATGTATCACGTGAGGTCAGGTGTGGAATTATCCACTTGTAGTATTATGTCAGTGCTCAAAAAGTTTGAATTTTGGAGCATTTTGGATTTTGAATGTTTGGATTAAGGATGCTCAACCTGTATTGCTTTGTTGAATTTTATTATTTTCTATATTTTATGCCAGGATAATGTTCATCTTATATAATAATCTGGAAAATCTCCTAAGGTTTTTTTTTGAGGCCCTATATTTCTTTAAAAATTTAAAAAGAAATTAGAAATAAAACCATCTAGGCCTAGGACTAATTACATTTCTCTCCAGGTTCATTAGATGGTTCTAATCTTGTCAACATTAAGAATGGTGCAATATATATATATATATGTATATATTTATTAAAATAATCTATTTTAGGCCAGGCGCAGTGGCTCACACCTGTAATCCCAGCACTTTGGGAGGCTGAGGCAGGCAGATCACAAGGTCAGGAGTTCGAGACCAGCCTGACCAACATGGTGAAATGCCGTCTCTACTAAAAATACAAAAATTAGCCAGGCATGGTGGCGCACACCTGTAATCCCAGCTACTCAGGAGGCTGAGGCAGGAGAGTCGCTTGAATTCAGGAGGCAGAGGTCGCAGTGAACCAAGACTGTGCCACTGCATTCCAGCCTGGGTGACAGAGCGAGACTCTGTCTCAAAATAAATAAATAATACAATTTTTAAAAAATCTATTTTGTTAACAATTTCAAATTTATTAGCCTGGCATATTTGCCATTTTATTGCATAGGTGTCTTTTATATTTTGGATTATAATCCCTACCTGTTTCTAATTTAATTTCCTTGTGTATCCTATATTTTATTATTTTTTCAAGAAATAGCTTTCAGATGGATTTATCAATATATTTATTGTTTTTAATTAATTTTATATTTATCTATATCTATATCTATTTCTTCTTCATATTTTGCCAGGATTCTGATTTCTCATTTCTAGCTTCTAGAACTAAATAATTAGCTTATTTATTTCCATTCTCTTTTGCAATGATAGAAGATTAGTCTTTTTTTATTGATATACAATTTTACATATTTATGGGGCATATGTGATATTTTGATACATTCATACAATGTGCACTGATTAAATCAGAGTAACTGAGATACTTATCACCTCAAACATTTATCATTTATTTGTGTTGAGAACATTCCACATCTTCTCTTCTGGCTATTTTGAAATATACAGTATATTATTGATAACTATAGTCCTTGTACTGTACTATTGAACACTAGAACTTACTTATTTCTAACTGTATTTTTGCAACCATTAACCAGTCTCTCTCTATCTCCCCTCTCCCCCATACTTCCCAGCCTCTGGTAAGCACCATTCTAATTTCTACTTCCTTGAGATAAACTTTTTTAGCTCCCATATAGGAGATGGTACATCCAATTTTTGTCTTTCTGTACCTGGCTTATTTCACTTAAATAATGACCTCCAGTTCCATTCATGTTGCTGCAAATGAGAGGATTAAATTCTTTTTTATGGCTGAATAATATTCCATTGTGAATTTTTCTTCTTGTCACAACTTTTGACTGGATCCTGTGAACTAGTACATGTACTGGTTTTATTTTGGCTATTTAAAAACAAAGTTTAAAAAATTTTCTTTTATATTAAAAATTATTTACAATAACATTGTTACTATTCCAAGTGACTGGGTTATTAATATTCCTCATTATTGATTCTCAGTTTTATTGCATTCTTAAGATAGAATTGGCTTGTAAAATCCTAAAATGTATTAAGCTCTTCTTGGGAGCTTATAATTAACATTTATAAATGTTTCATAAACCTGTGAGAAGGGTTGCATTTTCTACTTGTAGACTTACATTTCAATATGTGGCTATAAGAAGAACTTTAATCCCATAAATTAGATATTCTATATCCCATTTAAAAATTTATATTTATTCTTTAATCTTTAACAATTCTTGCTTTATATTTTAAGACTTTTTGTTGCCAAATTTATTATTCATAGCTATTATATCTTTATCTTCATTTATGCACTTTGTCAAATATGTTTTCCATCTTTTTAATAAGTTTTGCTTTGATTTCTAGAACATTCTATTCTAGCAATTTTTTTTACCTGTATTTTCTGATATTTGACTGCCCATCCTTTAAATTTTAGTCCATCAAAAACACTTTTCTTTCTCAATATCCAACGCTTATAATTGGAATTAGTTTTTTTGCCCATGCCAGAGAGTTTTTGCTCTTGAAATATAACTAAATTACCCCATTTACAGTTATAATTAGATTTTATTTTACCTTGCTTTCATTATTTTGATTTATATTTTACATTTTAAAAATAGTTTCTTTCTATATTATGCACATATGTAGATATCTTTTATTTGATTATTTAATAATTCAGAAATTTTAGATCACATATGTATTAGACAGTTCTCCAGAGAAGCAGAACCAATAGAATATATATAAATATAAGGAGATTTATTATAATTGGCTCATGAGATTATGGAGGCCAAGATGTCCCATGATATGACATTGGCAAGCTGAGGACCTAGTAAAGCCAGTGGTATGATTCAGTTGAGTCCAGAGGCCTGAGAACCAGGGAAGTCAATTGTTTAAGTTCTAGTCTGAAGCTGCAAGACTGAGAAAAGGGGATTGGGGTGCTGATATAAGTCCCAGAGTCCAAAAGCCTGGGAACCAGGAGCTCTGATGTCCTGGGGCAAGAGAAAATGGATGCTCCTGCTCAAAAAGAGACAGAATTTGCCTTTCCGCAGCCTTTCTGTCCTATTCGGTTCCTCAATAGATTGGATGATGCCCATGCACAGTGGGGAGGGTGGATAGTCTTACCCAGCCTATCAATTCAAATCTCTTCTGGTAAGCACCCTCACAGAAATGCTTAGAAATAGTTTTACCAGCTACTAGGCATCCTTTAGCCCAGTCAAGTTGACTCATAAAATTAAGGGTCACAATGTCCTTTATTCTATCAGTGCATGTGCCCCTGAGGAGGATATACAGAAACATGACTTGGATGTGCAATTGTGCCTTGGACGTGCCATGCCACAGGATAAACAAGATACATGCTCTTGAATTATCATATATATATGTTCTATATATAAAATATATTCACATAGATTATATATGCATGTAATATACATAAGATATATATAAGATATATATCTATATCTATGTATGTATATATGCTTATATATCATATATAAGCATATATACCTTATATATAAGCATATGTATCCTTATATATAAGCATATATATCTGATATATATTATAGCCATATATAATATCTATATCCATATATAATTCATTAATATTTAACTCAAAGCCAATAAGCACTGTATCATGCCTGGACGAAGCTAATCTACCACCCATGTTTCTCTATAAGGCACACCACAACCTTCTTGCAAATAGAAACACTACACAGTGCTTTAGCATAATGCTTAGCGGCCATTTTAAACAGGGAAATCACGAACAAAAACAAAAACACAAGAAAAATGAAGAATGTACCATGAAATGTACCCCCAAAAGGACACGTTTACATTATGATAGCTGAAACAAGAAGGCAGAGCATTGCTTTGCTTGATCTCACTTAAGAACGTGCAAGTCCAGTGACTCAAATTTTTTGCCATTTGTGTTTGAATGAGTGTGAAAACACTGTTGGGTATTAATTATAAGGTTACAAATAGATTTTAGTGAGTAGAGAAATTTGCAAATACAGAATCTGTGAATAATGAGGATTGACTATATATATGTATTGTATATATATAATTGACAGACTGCATTCCTCTCACTGCATTAACATACATTTTTCAATCCAGAATTTCATATCCAGCCAAACTAAGCTTCATAAGTGAAGGAGAAATAAAATCCTTTACAGACAAGCAAATGCTGAGAGATTTTGTCACCACCAGGCCTGCCCTAAAAGAGCTCCTGAAGGAAGCACTAAACATGGAAAGGAACAACTGGTACCAGCCACTGCAAAAACATGCCAAATTGTAAAGACCATCGAGGCTAGGAAGAAACAGCATCAACTAACGAGCAAAATAACCAGCTAACATCATAATGACAGGATCAAATTCACACATAACAATATTAACCTTAAATGTAAATGGGCTAAATGCTCCAATTAAAAGACACAGACTGGCAAATTGGATAAAGAGTCAAGACCCATCAGTGTGCTGTATTCAGGAAGCCCATCTCATGTGCAGAGACACACATAGGCTCAAAATAAAGGGATGGAGGAAGATCTACCAAGCAAATGGAAAACAAAAAAAGGCAGGGTTTGCAATCCTAGTCTCTGATAAAACAGACTTTAAACCAACAAAGATCAAAAGAGACAAAGAAGGCCACTACATAATGGTAAAGGGATCAATTCAACAAGAAGAGCTAACTATCCTAAATATATATGCACCCAATACAGGAGCACCCAGATTCATAAAGCAAGTCCTTAGAGACCTACAAAGAGACTTAGATTCCCACACAATAATTATGGGAGACTTTAACACCCCACTGTCAACATTAGACAGATCAACAAGACAGAAAGTTAACAAGGATATCCAGGAATTGAACTCAGCTCTGCACCAAGTGGACCTAATAGACATCTACAGAACTCTCCACCCAAAATCAACAGAATGTACATTCTTTTCAGCACCACACCACACCTATTCCAAAATTGACCACATAGTTGGAAGTAAAGCACTCCTCAGCAAATGTAAAAAAACAGAAATTATAACAAACTGTCTCTCAGACCACAGTGCAAATCAAACTAGAACCCAGGATTAAGAAACTCACTCAAAACCGCTCAACTACATGGAAACTGAACAACCTGCTCCTGAATGACTACTGGGTACATAACGAAATGAAGACAGAAATAAAGATGTTCTTTGAAACCAACGAGAACAAAGATACAACATACCAGAATCTCTGGGACACATTCAAATCAGTGTGTAGAGGGAAATTTATAGCACTAAATGCCCACAAGAGAAAGCAGGAAAGATCTAAAATTGACACCCTAACATCACAATAAAAAGAACTAGAGAAGCAAGAGCAAACACATTCAAAAGCTAGCAGAAGGCAAGAAATAACTAAGATCAGAGCAGAACTGAAGGACACAGAGACACAAAAAACCCTTCAAAAAATCAACGAATCCAGGAGCTCGTTTTTTGAAAAGATCAACAAAATTGATAGACTGCTAGCAAGACTAATAAAGAAGAAAAGAGAGAAGAATCAAATAGATGCAATAAAAAATGATAAAGGGGATATCACCACCAATCCCACAGAAATACAAACTACCATCAGAGAATACTATAAACATCTCTATGCAAATAAACTAGAAAATCTAGAAGAAATGGAAAATTCCTCGACACATACACCCTCCCAAGACTAAACCAGGAAGAATTTGAATCTCTGAATAGACCAATAACAGGCTCTGAAATTGAGGCAATAATTAATAGCTTACCAACCAAAAAAAGTCCAGGACCAGATGGATTCACAGCCGAATTCTACCAGAGGTACGAGGAGGAGCTGGTACTATTCCTTCTGAAACTATTCCAATCAATAGAAAAAGAGGGAATCCTCCCTAACTCATTTTATGAGGCCAGCATCATCCTGATACCAAAGCCGGGCAGAGACACAACACAAAAGAGAATTTTAGACCAATATCCCTGATGAACATCGATGCAAAAATCCTCAATAAAATACTGGCAAACTGAATCCAGCAGCACATCAAAAAGCTTATCCACCATGATCAAGTGGGCTTCATCCCTGAGATGCAAGGCTGGTTCAACATACGCAAATCAATAAACGTAATCCAGCACATAAACAGAACCAATGACAAAAACCACATGATTATCTCAATAGATGCAGAAAAGGCCTTTTACAAAATTCAACAGCCTTTCATGCTAAAAACTCTCAATAAATTAGGTATTGTTGGGACGTATCTCAAAATAATAAGAGCTATCTATGACAAACCCACAGCCAGTATCATACTGAATGGGCAAAAACTGGAAGCATTCCCTTTGAAAACTGGCACAAGACAGGGATGCCCTCTCTCACCACTCCTATTCAACATAGTGTTGGAAGTTCTGGCCAGGGCAATCAGGCAGGAGAAGGAAATAAAGGGTATTCAATTAGCAAAAGAGGAAGTCAAATTGTCCCTGTTTGCAGATGACATGATTGTATATCTAGAAAACCCCATTGTCTCAGCCCAAAATCTCCTTAAGCTGACAAGCAACTTCAGCAAAGTCTCAGGATACAAAATCAATTGCAAAAATCACAAGCATTCCTATACACCAATAACAGACAGAGAGCCAAATCATGAGTGAACTCCCATTCACAATTGCTTCAAAGAGAATAAAATACCTAGGAATCCAACTTACAAGGGACATGAAGGACCTCTTCAAGGAGAAGTACAAACCACTGCTCAATGAAATAAAAGAGGATACAAACAAATGGAAGAACATTCCATGCTCATAGGTAGGAAGAATCAATATTGTGAAAATGGCCATACTGCCCCAGGTAATTTATAGATTCAATGCCATCCCCATCAAGCTACCAATGACTTTCTTCATAGAATTGGAAAAAACTACTTTAAAGTTCATATGGAACCAAAAAAGGGCCTGCATCACCAAGATAATCCTAAGCCAAAAGAACAAACCTGGAGGCATCATGCTACCTGACTTCAAACTATACTACAAGGCTACAGTAACCAAAACACCATGGTACTGGTACCAAAACAGAGATATAGACCAATGGAACAGAACAGAGCCCTCAAAACTAATGCTGCATATCTACAACCATCTGATCTTTGACAAACCTGACAAAAGCAAGAAATGGGGAAAGGATTCCCTATTTACTAAATGGTGCTGGGAAAACTGGCTAGCCATATGTAGAAAGTCGAAACTGGATCCCTTCCTTACACCTTATACAAAGATTAATTCCAGATGGATTAAAGACTTAAATGTTAGACCTAAAACCATAAAAACCCTAGAAGAAAACCTAGTCTTTACTATTCAGGACATAGGCATGGGCAAGGACTTCATGTCTAAAACACCAAAAGCAATGGCAACAAAGGCCAATATTGACAAATGGGATCTAATTAAACTAAAGAGCTTCTGCACAGCAAAAGAAACTAACATCAGAGTGAACAGGCAACCTACAGAATAGGAGAAAATTTTCGCAATCTACTCATCTGACAAAGGGCTAACATCCAGAATCTACAATGAACTCAAACAAATTTACAAGAAAAAAACAACAACCCCATCAACAAGTGGGCAAAGGATATGAACAGACACTTTTCAAAAGAAGACATTTATGCAGCCAAAAGACACATGAAGAAATGCTCATCATCACTGGCCATCAGAGAAATGCAAATCAAAACCACAATGAGATACCATCTCACACCAGTTAGAATGGCGATCATTAAAAAGTCAGGAAACAACAGGTGCTGGAGAGGATGTGGAGAAATAGGAACACTTTCACACTGTTGGTGGGACTGTAAACTAGTTCAACCATTGTGGAAGTCAGTGTGGTGATTCCTCAGGGATCTAGAACTAGAAATACCATTTGACCCAGCCATCCCATTACTGGATATATAACCAAAGGATTATAAATCATGCTGCTATAAGGACACATGCACACGTATGTTTATTGCGGCACTATTCACAATAGCAAAGACTTGGAACCAATCCAAATGTCCAACAATGATAGACTGGATTAAGAAAATGTGGCACATATTCACCATGGAATACTATGCAGCCATAAAAAAGATGAGTTCATGTCCTTTGTAGGGACATGGATGAAGCTGGAAACCATCATTCTCAGCAAACTATCGCAAGGACACAAAACCGAACACTGCGTGTTCTTACTCATAGATGGGAATTGAACAATGAGCACACTGTGTCCACAGGAAGGGGAACATCACACACTGGGGCCTGTTGTGGGGTGGGGGTAGGGGGGAGGGATAGCATTAGGAGATATACCTAATGTTAAATGACAAGTTAACAGGTGCAGCACACCAACATGGCACACGTATACATATGTAACTTACCTGCACGTTGTGCACATGTACCCTAAAACTTAAAGTATAATTAAAAAAAAAAAAAGAAAGTAACCTTGGGAAAACAAACAAACAAACAAACATACATTTTGGCTATGTTGGAGGTTTTATTTTCAGAAGTATGTTTCTTCTGTTACTCCCCGCAGTTTTTTTACGCAGCAGTATTTTCTATGTTAATGTTCATTCTCTTTATACTGTACCTTCATCTGGTAATCAGCTCACTTGGGTTTGTGTCCCTCTCTTCCTTCAGATACATGTTTACTTTTCTCTGCTATTAAGAGCCCTTGACATGGATGGGCCGTGCTAACCTCAGCAAAAATGGTTTGTCTTGGTTCCCTTTCGGCCTTTGTATGGTGAGTATAGCCCTTCTTTATATCTATAACTAGTAGGCAAGTTGATGAGCATACTTCCCAGTCTACTTCTCATTTATTAGCAGTTTTTCACTTTTTGCAACAGATCACAAACTCTAGACTTTAATGCTCATTTGAGAGGAAGCGTTCACTGGTCCATCTGTATATTGAAAAAAATGCAGGCAATGTAGTAGGAAGATATTAATTCAATTTAAAGTACAATTCTTTATTTGAGATAGTTTTTCCATACTTTTGTTAAATTCTTAGCAATTTGTTGTTACTTTTAAAATTATGTTTACTTGTAAAATAAAATAAATGACAACTCATTGCTGAGTCCTAAACTTTAATTTGAAATTGTATTGATGTATAAAATTAGGAAGTCTTGATATAATGCACTCTTTTCTAGCAGTGTAATATCTTTTCCTTTGCCCAACCACTTTTCTCCTTTTAAAGAAAAATAGATATAGTAATAACAATAATAATATTTGTGTAACACTTACACGCGGGGGCCTGCCTAAGCATTTGACATATATGACTTCTTTTAATTCTCACAATAACTCTGCAAGGTAAGTACTATTACTCTCCCCATTTTATTGATGGAAAACCAGGGAATGATCTTCAAGGTCACCTAATTAGTAGCAGATTCAGGATTCTTGCACTGGGAGTCTGGTTCCTGGGCCTCCCCTCCTAAATACCACACTGAGTTCCTTATTTATCAGCCTTGCATTTAGACTGCAGTTCTCACGTTCATTGTTGTGCTCTTCTCCTTCCTACTGCAGCCCTAAAATTTACGGCATTATTTAGAGGTCTTGCATTTCCAAGCATGCAGTGTTGCTGTCATTCCTACTGATCTTTCCATTCCTGCCCTGTTTCCAACCCATTCCTTTCTTCCCTGAAGAAATAGAGAAGGTCAGGATGGGAAGATAGATGAACACGGGGAAAGGAATACAATGTTGCCTGATTCTAAATACAGTATAGAGCAGAGAGAGCCCCCTGTCCATTTCCTGTTTTCCTGAGATCCTGATTATCTCATTCTAACACTATAGAGAAGACACAAAGTATCATTCTATTTATTTTTAGGTCTCCTTTTTGCAAAAAGCAATATTGGTCCGTGACTTGCACTTAAGTATGGTTACGTTTTTCTCAGTCCATCTCATGTGTCTTATAGGGCCAATACATTTCATAATTTGAAACATTATTTCTCATTTTTATCTTTTAAGGCTGTTTGGTTGTGTGTTTGCTTTTTTATTGTCTTTATGAGCATGTTGGTGAAAGCTGTATTAGTCAGCATTTTAAATTCCAAGCAGGTACTCCTTAATTTTGTTTCTTCTCTTTGCTTCAGTAAAGTTTTTCTAAAAATAAGCACTTCTTCTGAAACTTGAGTGATGTTTTCCTCCTTTTATTTTGCAGCAACTTTTCACTGTTTCCATTTTGGTTCTATCTCTGTTCAGTGAAGTCAAAGGAGGATACATTTTATACAAGACTGATGTTTTCTCATAAACAGAATGAGTGGATCATTCCTGATTTTCTCTCATCTGTTTTTCCCTTCATTGTTTGGCTGCTAGATGCCTCCTTTCAGATCCTAAGCTAGGTTAGCAATTTTGCCAGTTCTCTGCTGTGGCGCCCTGAAGAGGGAGGGATCCTATCCTACCTTCATCTGTGTTGGATGCTCCTGCCATGCTGAGAACTCAGTGTCTATCTCCAGCTTTCTCTGTCTTGGTCACTGCAAGGGCACATGTGCCCTTCCTGCCTCCTGCCTTCTGCTGTTGCCCATGCATCATGGAAAAGTCTCACTGTCTGAGCGTTCTTGGTAGCACCTCTGCAAACTGCTTTTGGAATGTTGTCAATCTGCAGCTGTGGGTGGAATGCTAAGTGCAGTATTTCCTCTCTGTAGCTCTGTCTGCCTGTGCCTGCAGTTCTCCTTCCCTCAGACAAGACAACTGCCAGGATTTCCTATGTCTGATAACTTCCCTCCCTCCAGTCCAGCTCTTTTCTTTCTATGAGAAAGTTCTCAAAGTTTGAGGAATGTGACCAACAACTTTCCTGAGCTCTCAATGCCAGTGCAGAATTGCTATTTTTTTATCCCTTTGCTTATTTTGGTGGGGGTCAGAGGGGGCCTTTAAGAGAACTGTACTCAAGTCACTATCTTATATCAAAGTCTTTTAACTGATAGTTACTATTTTTGAGTCATTGTGCCAACTTTCACTTATGTGGTCTCATTGAATCCACCAAACATCCCTTTAAGATATCTCATTGTCATCCCTGTTTAACAGGCAAGTAAACTGAGGTTCAAAACAGCATATTAATTTGCTTAAGTTGGTACAGCTGGTTACAGAAGGATGCATGCAGGAATTAGAACCTAGTTTTCCTGGTAAAATGTGCTGCTTTACTACCAACCTGCCTTGTTCCCGGCTAATTATTACGTTTGTAGGAGTTTAAGTCCAGCCTTTGATGGCACTTGGCTCACTTTCTTACTTTAATTGACCCAATGTCCCACAGCAAGAGTGTGAGTTTCAGTTTCAGATTCAGTAAAATGTAAATAATAACATAATTGGTTTTAGAATTAAGAACAAAAGTTCTCTGAAAAGGAATTTGGAGGAAAGATACTTTATTCCCGGGAACAGTTTGCAAACTGGGGAGATGCAGTTGCTAATGTAAAAGGAAGGTGCACTCCAGAGAACAAAGGGAAGGCTCCGGTTTTATAGCAAAGTTCCCACCCAGATTCCCAAATAGGTCTGTTCATTCAAGTGAAGGATTGAAACATGCTTAGTTCTGCCTGGTTGGTAAAGCTGAGTTCTAATTGGTCAATGCAGCTGAGCCATGATTGGCCAAGGCAGGTGTGTGCTGAATGGTTGATTCACGTGAGCTCTGAAAGTCCCAAAGATAAAAAGGTGCAGGTTTTCAGGGAACTCAGAGTACATATGTGACCCCTAATCAGTAGATGGCTGCTTGATCCTATTTAAATTTGGCCGTTTGCCACTGGGGATCCATATTGAAGGACTGGCTCTTTCAAGTTCATGTTTGTTCACAGAATTCAATGACAGACTACATGTCAGAGTTTCAAACTAAATGCCTTTAGGCATGTAGCAGGTAGCATAAATATGTGAGGTGGCCTTGTGTAAGACTATAAGGACTGATGGGGTTTGTCAAACCTGCATGAAATTCTACTTGTTAAAACTCGCTGGGCTGATTATATACCCACGAGGAGGGCTAAAAAGAAAAGAAAAAAACACAGGAAAAAAAAAAAGAAAAATACCAAGTGTTGTCAATGATGTGGTACAACTGAAATTCTCATAAACTGCTGGTGGAAATGTATAACCACTTTGGAAAACTCATGGGTGATACCTACTGAAGTTGAACATACACATAACTTTGATCCAGTATTTCAGCTCTCGAATGTACATTCAAATGAAATGAGTACAGGTACCCACCAAAAGATATGTTCAAGGACATCCATAGCAGCGCTATTTATAAGAGCCCCAAACTGGAAACCAATATCGACATTACAATGAATCAATGTATTATAAAATATTCACACAATGGAAGAATACAGAATGAGAATGAATAAGCTATCCTACCTGCAACAACATAGACATATCTTGTGAACGTAAGGTTGAGCAAAAGAACTGAGATATAGAAAAATATATATTGTATGATTTCAAATATTTAAAACTAGAAAAAATGAATCTATGTTGTAGGAGCCAGGATAGCAAGTAGTGACTGAAGGGAGTTTGAGAGGAGCTTTTGGGGTACTGCTACTGTTCTGGTTCCTGATCTTTTTTACTGGTGTCCGTTCGGTGAGTATAATTGAGCTCTCCACTTAAAAATTGTTTACTTTCTTTGTGTATGCATGTTACACTTGGGTATACAATTTTTTCAAACAATAATAATTACTCTTCTTCTGAACAAAGTGATAGTGACAGGAGGCAGCCAAATGCCTGGGCAGATAGGGGCGGGTATGCAGTGAAACTCCACCTCCAAGCTGAAGACAGTTTAACTCCTGAAAGCCAAGATACAAGTTAAATCCTTGGATTGGATTGATAACTTGTCTTCCTGTTCAGTGTGCTTTCTTCTGATTGATCCCCACCCTTCGCCTATTTTACATATATCTACCCTTTCCTGATTGGTTTTCTACACTGTCATGTCCACCTTTGAGTGGTGTCTTCACTTTAACCTTTTCTGCATACTCACAAACCAATCAGCATGCACTCCCCATCTTGTGCCTATAATGACCTCAGACTCAATCAGTAGAGGAGAAGATGGCCTGACTTTGGGGAAGACATAACCTAACTTTGGGGAGGACAACCTGCCCTTCCCATACCCTATCCATTCCCCCTCTCCATTAAGAACCGTTTTCTTCACTCAATAAAATTCTCTGCCTTCACCATCCTTTAGTCATCTGTGTGACCTCATGCTTCTTGGATGCTGGATAAGAGCTTGGGGCCCACTGAATGTGGGTACCCAGAAAAGGCTGTCACACTGGCCCTTTGCCTTTGCTGGCAGAGGGCAGCCACCCCACATGAGGAGGCAGGGGGCCAGTTGAGCTGCTAACACTGCTGTCCATTGGACTGTGACTGGCAGAACTAAAAAAGCACTGTAACACCCCCTCTGGGTCTTTGGGGTTGGGGACGCCCTCGCCTGGATGCCGCCACATTCCCCTCAAGGTGGCGTGCCATCTGACTGCAGGCCCCAGACAGAGCTTGCTCCTGTGCTGGTGCCTGGAACAGCTGGCTAGATCTTGCACTTACTTGCTTACATGCTCCCTCCTGCAAGGGGCTGAGTGCAGTGGGCCTAGTAGAAGGGGCACCCCTCCTGCAAGTCTGGTGAAGGGGCTGAGAAAAATCCTGTATCAAAAGCACTACACTGACCATACATATATGTTAACTGGCCATGTTTGTTACTCACGTTTTCTCCCTTTATGTTCCCACAACCCTTTCTGTCCCCTGGGATTCTGTTCTATTCTGTAGCCAAAGCTGGGGAGAAGCTGCTGCCAATGTAAAAGGAAGAGGCCTTCCAATGCTGGCTACAGAAGAGAACAGAACAGATTTTCCTTTTTTTCATTTTATAGATTTTTTTCAAGTAAGCAATGAGAAGGCACAGATGTGGCAAGGGTGCAGGATGAAGGCCTAAATATTATAAAAAATGTAGACACAGGTCTCAGTCATTGTGCTGGCTCTAGTGCTTTGGGGTTCCCTGATATACCTTCGTCTGCTTTTGTTACTCCAAGTGTGTGTCGGTTGTAGAATTTGATCAGCAATCATCCTGAACCATTCTTTAGGAAATCCTGGATTCTCCTACTTCCCTGGAGCAGCATGGGGATGCAGGGTGTGGGGGCAAGTGAGTGAGCACGTGGCTGTGCAAGTGCTTCCTGAATAACAGTGGGCTGTTTCCATCTCTGAGGAAGAGGTTTCTCCTGATCACTAAAGTATCACACTCAAATCAAGAATCTCAGTTAATTCCAACAGAACTGAGGCTGAGATCTTATACCTATTTTGCAGAAAAACCTAGATACATTAAATAATTTAACTACATTCTGCTGAGTGGCAGTGTCTGAATTTGAACTCAGATCTTCTGAATCTCACAGTGTGGTTCCCATGTAAATGAAACTGGAAGCCTCACCTCAGGGCATTTCCTCTTGAAGCCATGCAGGCCTTATTTTCCTGCCATACCATCATTTTGAGTAAGTGGGAGAAAAGCGCAGATGCTGTGTAACATAGTGACAAGCCTTCAGAGAACTTCCTGTGGCTGCAGAAAAGGCAACTGCTAAAAAAACTTGGCACCATACTATGTGATTTCCTTTTCTCAAACTAACCACTCTGGAAAACTTGGTTGACTGGATCCCACTGCTTTCTTAGCAAAAGCTAATTAGAAGAGAGACACTGGGGCTCCATCAGTGCCCTCTCATGAAGGGACCATCTGCTTCCCTCCTTAGCAGCCACTCTGAGACCTGGACCTGGCCCAGCTTTGCTAAAGAGGAAGGAGGAAGTCTGGGAAGTGCCAGGGTGCTGACACAAGAGCAGGTGCTTTGAGCAAGCAGAACTGAGTTCGAATCCTGGCTCCTTTATTTCCTAATTGTCTACATCTGCCTTTTTTGAGCCTTTGATGCCTCAGTGGTGAATTCAGGGTTTTAATAATAATTGCAAAACTGTTTGAGGGAATTTAAAAAACAGTATATAAAAGGTTAATGCATCAATCTGATGTTTTAAAACTGTGGTCCGTGTTTCCTCACTCAGAATCCTGCAGATTAAAATGCAGATTCCTGAGCCCATTCATGCCTTATAGTCAGAATCTCTTAGGGGCTGGGCTTGGAAATTTATATTTTAATAAGCCTCCAGGGAGAGACAATTGTAAGACAGAAATGTAGGTTCTGTGGTAAAATAAGCAAAGAAGCCCAGGAAGCATAAAACAAGGTCCCCTAAAGGATCAACAATCACGGCCCATAATGCTTGAGCTTAATCTCTTAGGGTATGTGAGAATTGGTCTCTTTAGGAAAGAGACCGATCTGCCAAATCTTGTCACTGGAAGTATGAATGTAAAATCCACAGGGTCGGCTGGGCACAGTGGGTCACACCTGTAATCCCGGCACTTTGGGAGGCTGAGGCGGGTGGATCACCTGAGGTCAGGAGTTCGAGACGAGCCTGACCAATGTGTTGAAACCCCATCTCTAACAAAATGCAAAAATTAGCCAGGCACGGTGGCGTGCACCTATAGTCCCAGCTACTAGGGATGCCGAGACAGGAGAATTGCTTGAACCCGGGAGGCAGGGGTTGCAGTGAGCCAAGATTGTGCCTCCAGCCTGGGCAACAGAGCAAGTCTCCATCTGAAAAAAAAAAAAAAAATCCACAGGGTCAATGGTCGGGAGCAGTCGGAGGGAAAAGAAATGGCTGAGAGACACAGGCACTGGAGAGAGGAGAGTCAGAGAGGAACTGATTCAACACAACAAGCAATGCTTCTGAGTAGAGTTATGAGACTCTCACTTCAGCTCATCTGCTCTGGATGAGCTCAGAGCTGGTGTGATCTAGGCTGGTTGGTGTCCAGGTATCCTTGAAACCTATCGAATTAGTTTCTTGTGCTTTTCTACTTCCCATGTATCTCTTCAATAAATGCTAATTACTACTTGAGTGTGGTATGGGTTTCTTGCAACATAAAAATTTACCAACACATCATAAGAGGTTTAGACTTCATCATGTAAAAAAAAAAAAAGTACCTGAGGAAGATACTAGTATTTGTTTAAAATCAGTCATTCTTCTTTGCTGCACCTTTGCAGCCATCTGCTTCTTCTTCTTCCCCCCCTCCCCGCCTTGAGATGGAGTCTTGCTCTGTCACCCAGGCTGGAGTGTAGTGGCATAATCTGGGCTCATCCAGATTATGAGCAACCTCCGCCTCCTTGGTTCAAGCTATTCTGCTGCCTCAGCCTCCTGAGTAGCTGGGATTACAGGTGTGTGCCACCACCAGGCCCCGCTAATTTTTATATTTTTGGTAGAGACATGGGGTTTCACCATGTTGGCCAGGCTGGTCTCAAACTCCTGACCTCAAGTGATCCGCCCCCCTCAGCCTCCCAAAATGCTGGGAGCTACCTACTTCTTTTTTACTGACACAGCCCATCTCCTACTGTGGAGGCTGGACTTCACAGATTCTCACTGTCCCAGACTCAGCTGCAGCAAGCTGATCTATGACTCAGATCTGGCCAGTAAGGCATAAGGTAAATGTCTGGAGGATTTCTAAAAAGATTTTCCTTTGTGATAAAAAGAGAGAGACAATGTCTCGATTCCTTCATGCTTTTGTCAGTGTATGAAAATGTGATTTTAGGATCCATGGCAAACATCTTCTGTCTAAAGATAGAAAACAAAAAGACATTCAGAGAAACCAGTGCAGGACTCTGACATCACTAACTAACTGCTAACTGACCAACTTTTAAACTGGTTAGCTTTGGATCTATTATTTGCAAGAAAATAATTATCTTAATTCTTCAAGACATTTTTACTCTGAAAGAAGCTTCACTAACATAAGATCCATTGAAAGGTTCCAGTCAAGTGGTAGATATCCCAAGTTTTGTGTTTTATAAAGATTCCAGGTTGAGGTGTAAAGTAAAGTATGTTTCTGAATAGGAAAGTGAGAGACAGAAGGCAGGGGAACCAGTAAGGAAACTTTTGTAGTAATCGAGGCAAAGGTAATAAAGATCTGCACACACATTGAAACCTTCTATGTACTACGCCAATGAACTGCAAATATCAGTGTTTCTTTTATGTAACTTCTTTACTAGGTAGTTTACTTTCTTCAAATGACTTCCTTTTTAAATTAAGTAATAATGTGCTAGTTATTCTTCTAAATACACATTAAATAAGTAAAAATTTGTCTCCACTTTTGGCAATGGCCAACTAGCATTTAGGGACAAACAATCCTGTTGAGAATAACTAGTAACCTGAATACAAATACTTAAAAGTCACTTGTTTGTAAGGTTGGGGAGCTACTAAGGCAGCCAGGATTTGAGGGGCCAAGGATCTTGAAGGAAAGGGAGCACTGAGAAGCTGATTAGAACTTTCAGCGGTCTCAGGTTTGATAAGACAGAAAGTCAGAGTTCAGGGCTGAGCAAACACTATGAGTTTTCAGTCGGGACCACTGAAGGGTCAAAAGTATAAGGTTAACCAGAAATAAACCAGCTCTCTCAACAGCTAAAACCAGCATCAAATCAGCTTCGTATCTGTTGGCAATAATGTGCATTCCCAGTAGTAGCCTAACTAATATTAGTTTAGACTCTTGTCATTTTGAAGGGGGGGATCCTGCAAATCTGCTTTCTCCAGAGAGGCAGAGATATGGTGAAAAAATAACTACAGTGATACCTACCACTTAATAAGCATTTATCATGTGCCAGATTCTTACTATTGCACTATGAGGGAGATGCTGTGATAATCCTAGTTATCTGTTCAGAAAATTGAGTCTGAGAGTTAAATAATTTGCCTAAGGCCACAAAATTAGTACATGATAGAAAGTAGATCTGAATCATTTGTGGCTCCAGAGCCTGCCTACATTCATCATACCAGGAACCTTTTGTCTTGCCAGTTTCTGGCTGGCCTTGCCCTACAGGCAGCTCAGCGAGGCTGCCTACCTACAGTCACAGTAGCTCCCGGTTTGCATGGACATTGCGTGCCCAACTGTCAGGTCAAAGCACTTCCTCTTTTAGGCAACAATGGTCAAACTTAAGTCCCTGGAACTGGGTAATAATTCCAAGGGCTCACCTTGGTTCTGTCTCTTTCTTTTAAAAAGAATTTTTTTTTTTTTTTTGAGATGGAGTGTCGCTGTTGCCCTGGCTGGAGTGCAGTGGCGCAATCTCAGCTCACTGCAACCTCTGCCTCCCGGGTTCAAATGATTCTCATGCCTCAGCCTCCAGAATAGCTGGGATTACAGGCATTGACCACCACCCCTAGCTGATTTTTATATTCTTAGTAGAGATGAGGTTTCACCATGTTGGTCAGGCTGGTCTCGAACTCCTGACCTCAAGTGATCTGCCCGCCTTGGCCTCCCAAAGTGCTAGGATTAGAGGCATAAGCCACCACGCCGGGTCAGTTCCTTCTGTTTCTGAGGATTCCTAGTACATGCGGCTTTACCTCATCCCACTTTATTAGTTTTTTTTTTCTACTATGGGGCCACAGCACCAGCAGTCCTTTACATTCAATCTTTTCCTTGCTTTCCAGAAGACAACTATCTTTCCTGAGTCCATTCAGTTAATTTTTCTGACATTTATTTCAATAAAATTCAGTGCATTTGGTTCCATCATTCAGACTAAGCTCTAGGCCAGGGATAGCAAACTGTTTTCACCTCAAATTTTCTCTCCAATCAATTGATAGTGGCTGCCTGGAGCATGGCGGTCAGAAGAAAGGATTGTGAGGCACATTCACACTCATAGTTAGAGGCTGCCGTGCTTGACTGATGATGTCTGAGGTGAGCACAGGTTGGGAGGGAGGGGAGAGGCAGCCTTTACACCACATAGTGGTCTCTATCACTCTGTGCTCTGGACACTGCTCATCTTCACACCCTCCCTGATTTTACTTCTAGAAGGATGACCTATGTTTTCCAAGTTGAGGAATGAAATATGTTTTTGAATGGGAGAGTGAGAGACAGAAGGCAGGGAGACCAGTAAGAAAACTTCAGCAGATACTGATCATGTTGGGATTCTTTTAAACTTGATGCTTAGAGAGGTTCAGCTGTCTGATCTGACAAAATTTTTTTTATTTTTATATGAGAAGCCTAGCAAGGTTATAAAAATGGAATAACATTTAGTTACACATTTAATGAATCGCCTTCTTTATTGCAAAGAAACAGGTTACATGAAATCAGGATGGTCCCTCAACACCAAGAACATATATTTTGCACAAAAAAGAAGTGTGAAAAAGAACTGATTTACATCACTCACCTGACAGTGGCTGTGGACACCCTGAAGCAGCTTTTCTTTCTTTCTTTCTTTTTTTTTTTTTTTTTTTGCCTCTGAGGTGTTTTTTTTTTTCTTACAAGTCTCCCTTCCTCTTTGCCTTCAAGTTCCTCTCTGACGAATTTCCCCTATGTGTTCAGTTTTACTTTTTCTGCAACTTCATTTACTTTCTGCTCTATCAGTGAGGAGTTTCAGTCAAATTTACAACTTCTAGCCCTGGAACTTGCAGAAAAGTAGTTTTAATATTTATAAACTGATTTTCTATCTTTAAATCAGGAAAATGTAGCTATCACTTACCTACACTACATAGTATCCTATATGTTAATCTATTTGTGAATAGATGGTGCTTACAACCATACTGAAAATGATAAAGCCTTGGGAAGCTGGAACGGGAAGGAAGCATAGAGGGCATATAATCTTACTTTAAATGAGAGCACAATGAGTGAGATTCAGAGAGTTGAACGGAATGTTAACATCGCTTGACAAAGACTGGGATTCAAACCCAGGTCCTGCATCAAAATCCAGGGTGTTTTTGTTTGTGCCATTCTATCTGTTATGATCTCTGATGCTGTTCACTACAGCATATACCTTGCAAATATGTATTTCTTTTTAGATTTATAGATTACATATTGCCGTTTTGGGATTAGGGTGAGCTATGAGTAACAATCAACAATGACGGAAAGAACATAGAAGATCATTTCTTTCAAATTTAAAGAAACCTGGAAGTAGCAGTAGAGGGCTGAATTAACTGCGTCATCAAAGTAGCTGTTTCATCATCTTCAGAAACCTAGGCTTTTGTTAGCTCACTGCTTCATTCACCCTAGTGTGATCCTCATCTTCATGAGAAAATATGGCTATAAGAACTCCAGCCGTCACTCTTCTTTCTAGGCAAATATCTTTTAAGAAGGCTTCCCGGAAGCTGTTACATGTCATTGGTATTTCCACGTATAGGTCATTGGCAGAAATTTAGTCACAGGGTATAACTAGCTTTAAAGAATCTGAGAAATATAGTCTTTCTTTCATAGGTGCCATGTATCCAGCTAAGAATTAGGGGTTCAAATGCTAACGAAGAAAATAATAAATATTGAGGGAGGTCTCTGTTTCAACATCAAAGCACACTTACTGCTTAAATGACATTTAATAGGTAAAAATGTACACTAGACACATGGATCAACTTACTGAGTTTTTTTTAACCCACCGTTGCATTTAATCCTCAGATCAAGTTTATGAGATAGGTAATTTGTCTCATTTTATGTTTATTTTTAATATTTCAATAGCTTTAGGGGTACAAGTGGTTTGGGGTTAAAGGGATTAATTGTATAGTGATGAAATTTGGGATTTTAGTGCACCCGTCACCTGAGTAGTGTACATTGTTTCCAATAGGTAGTTTTTCATCCGTCACTCCCCTCCCACCCACCCCCTTCTGAGTCTCCAGTGTCCGTTATATCACTCTGTATATGCCTTTGCATACCCATAGCTTAGCTCTCACTTTTACGGGAGAGAGAATGCGGAGTTTGTTTTTTCATTCCTGAGTTACTTCAATTAGGATAATGGCCTCCAGTTCCATCCAAGTTGCTGCAAAAGACATTTATTCTTTTTTTTCTTTTTTTTTTTTTTTTTTTTTGAGACAGAGTCTCGCTCTGTCACCAGGGCGCGATCTTGGCTCACTGTAACCTCCTTCTTCTGGGTTCAAGCGATTCTCCTGCCTCAAACTCTCAAGTAGCTGGGACTACAGGTGTGTGCCACCACACCCAGCTAATTTTTGTATTTTTAGTAGAGATGGGGTTTCACCATGTTGACCAAGATAATCTCCATCTCTTGACCTCGTGATCCACCCACCTCGGCCTCCCAAAGTGCTGGGAGTACAGGCGTGAGCCACTGTGCCCAGCCTATTTTATTCTTTTTTTATGGCTGAGTAGTATTCTATAGTGTGTGTGTGTGTGTGTGTAAAGGTGATATATATATATACACACACATAGATATCACATTTTCTTTATCCACTCATCAGTTGATGGGCATTTAGGTTGATTGCATATCTTTGCTATTGTGAATTGTGCTGTGATAAACATACACATGCAGTATATAATGACTTCTTTTCATTGCTGGATCAAATTGTAGGTTTACTTTTAGTTCTTAGAGAAGTATCCATACTGTTTTCCATAGAGGTTGTACTAAATTCCCATCCGCAGTGTATAAGTGTTTCCTTTTCACCACACCTATACCAACATCTATTGTTTTTCACTTTTTCATGATGGCCATTCTGGCTGGGTTAAGGTGGTATCTCATTCTGGTTTTAATTTGCATTTTCCCAATGATTGAACATTTTTTCCATAAGTTTGTTGGCCATTTGTATGTCCTCTTCTGAGAAGTGTCTCTATATGTTTCTTGCCTACTTTTTAATGGGATCATTTGTTTTTTTCCTTGCTGATTTGAATTCCTTGTAGATTCTGGTTATTAGTCCTCTGTTAGATGCATAGTTTGCAAATATTTTCTCCCATTCTGTAGGTTGTGTGTTTACTGTGGTTATTTCTTCTGTTGTGCAGAAGCTTTTTAGTTTAATTAGGTCTCATCTATTACTTTTGCTTTTGTTGCATTTGTTTTTGGGGTCTTAGTCATAAATTCTTTGCCTAGGCCAATGTCCAGAAGAGATTTTCCTAGGGTTTCTTCTAGAATTTTCATGGTTTCAAATCTTAGATTTAAGTATTTAATCCATCTTGAGTTAATTTTTGTATATGGTGAGAGACAAGGATCCAGTTTTATTCTTCTACAGGTGCCTATCCAATTTTTCCAGCACCATTTATTGACTAAGGTTTCTTTTCCCCATTTATCTTTTTATGTGCTTTGTCAAAGATCAATTGGTCGTAAATATTTGGCTGTATTTCTGAGCTCTTATTCTGTTCCATTAATCTATGCATCTACTTTTATACCAGTACCATGCTGTTTTAGTTACTATAGGCTTCTGGTATAATTTGAAGTCAGGTAATGTGATGCCACCAGATTTGTTTTTTTTGCTTAGGATTGCGTTGGCTATTCAGGCTCTTTTTTAGTTCCATATGAATTTTAGAAATGCCTTTTCTAGTTCTGTGAAAAAATGACAGTATTTGATAGGAATTGACTTCAATTTGTAGATTACTTTGGGTAGTATGGTCATTTTCACAATATTGATCCTTCAATTCCATAAATATGAGATGTGTTTCCATTTGTTTGTGTCATCTATGATTTCTTTCAGCAATGTTTTGTAGTTTTTCATGTAGAAATCTTTAACCCCCTTTGTTAGCTATATTCCTAGGTACTTTTTTGTAACTATTGTAAAAGAGATTGAGTTCTTGACTTGATTCTCAGCTTGGTTGTTGTTGTATAGCAGTGGTGCTAATTTGTGTACATTGATTTTCTAACCTGAGACTTTTCTGAATTCATTCATCAAATCTAGGAGTCTTTTGGGAGTATCTTTAGATATAAGATCATATCATCAGCAAACAGAGATAGTTTGACTTCCTCTTTTTCAATTTGCATGCCCTTTATTTCCTTCTCTTGCCTGATTGCTCTGGCTAGGACTTCTAGAACTATGTTGAATAGAAGTGGTAAAAGTGAACATCTTTGTCTTGTTCCAGTTCTTAAGGTAAATGCTTTCCACTTTTGCCCATTCAATATAATGTTGGCTGTGGGTTTGTCATAGATGGCTCTTATTATTTTGTGATATGTTCTATCTATGCCTATATCTATGTCCATGTTCATATCTCATAGAACATATGTATGAGATATGTTCTGTCTATGTTTGTTGAAGGTTTTTAACATAAAATCATGCTGGATTTTATCAAATGCTTTTTCTGCATCTATTGAGCTGATTATATGATTTTTGTTTTTAATTCTGCTATGTGATGAATCACATATATTGACTTGCTTATATTGAATCATTCCTGAATCCCTGGAATGAAACCCACTTGATCATGGTAATTTTTTTCTTGATGTACTGTTAGATTCAGTTTGCTAGTATTTTGTTGAAAAATTTTGCATCAATGTTTATCAGGGATATTGGCCTCTAGTTTTCTTGTTTTGTTCTTTCCTTTCCTGGCATTGGTATCAGAGTGATACCAGCTTTGTAGAATGAGCTAGGGAGAATTCCCTCCTCCATCTTTTAGAATAGTTTCAGCAGGTTTGGTACCAATTCTTCCTTGAATGTCTGATGGAATTCAGCTGTGAATCCACCTGGCCCTGGGCTTTTTTTGTTGAAAGGTCTTTGTTTTGTTTTGTTTTGTTTTGTTTTGTTTACTGATTCAATCTCACTGCTTGTTATTGGTCTGTTCAGGATTTCTATTTCTTCCTGATTCAGCTAGGGGTGTTGTATGTTTCCAGGAATTTATTCATTTCTTCTGGATTTTCTAGTTTGTGTGCCTGGAGATGTTCATAGTAGTCTCAATAATTTGTATTTCTGTTTTGTCAGTTGTAATGTCTCCATTTTCATTTCTAATGGAGCACGTCTGAATCTTTTTTTCTTGGTTATTCTAGTTAGTGGTTTATCAATTTTGTTTCTTTTCAAAGATCCAACTTTTCATTTCATTGATTTTTTTTTTTTGCGGGTTTCAATTTTATTTAGGTCTGATCTGATCTTTCTTATTCCTTTCTTCAGCTAGCTTTGGGTTTGGTTTGTTCTTGTTTCTCTGGTTCCTTGAGGTGTGATGTTACTTGTCAATTTGTGGTATTTCTGACTTTTTTTTAATGTGGGCACTAAATGCTATAAATTTTCTGCTTAGCACTGCTTTTGCTATATTCCAGAGGTTTCAATAACTTGTGTCACTGTTATCATTCATTTTGAAAAATTTTAAAATCTTCATCTTGATTTCTTTGCTAACCCCAAAGTCGCTCAGGAACAGGTTGTTTAATGTTCTCTTTCTTTCTTTTTGACGAAGTCTCACTCTGTTGCCCAGGCTAGAGTGCAGTGGCACGATCTTGGCTCACTGCAACTTCTGCCTCCCAAGTTCAAGTGATTCTCCTGCCTCAGCCTCCTGAGTAGCTAGGATTACAGACACACACCACCATGCCTGGCTAATTTTTGTATTTTTAGTAGAGATAGGATTTCATCATGTTGGCCAGGCTGGTCTCAAACTCCTGACATCAGGTGATCTGCCCACCTTGGCCTCCCAAAGTGCTGGGATTACAGGTGTGAGCCACCACAGCTGGCTAATTTTCATGTATTTGTATAGTTTTAAGCTTTCCTTTTGGAATTGATTTCTAGTTTTTTTCCACTGTGTTCTGGGAAGATAGTTGATATAATTTCAGTGTTTAAACATGTATTGAGATTTGTTTTGTGGTTCATTATATGATCTATCTTGGAGAATGTTCTGTGTATTGATGAGAAGAATATATATTCTGCATTTTGGGGGTAGTATGTTATGTAAATATCTGTTAGGTTCATTTGTTCTAGAGTACAGTTTAAGTCCAGTGTTTCTTTGTTGACTTTCTGCCTTGATGATCCAACTGATGGTGTCAATGGAGTATTGAAGTCCCCCATTATTACTGTATTGCTGTCTATCTCTTTTCTTAGGTGTAGTAGTAATTGTTTTATGAATCTGATAGCTCTGGAGTTAGGCACATGTATATTTAGGATTGTTATATCTTCCTGATGAATTCATTCTTTTATCATTATACAATGACTTTCTTTGTTCTATTTTTCTTTTTTACAGTTGTTGCTTTAAAGTCTATTTTATATGATACAAGAGTAGCTATTTCTGCTTGCTTTTGGTTTCCGTTTGCATGGAATATCTTCTTCCACTCCTCTACCTTGAGTCTACAAGAATCTTTATGTGTTAGGTGTGTCTCTTAAAGAGAGTAGATAATTGGTTTGTGATTTTTTCACCCATTCTGCTAATCTATATCTTTTAAAGGGGACATTTAGACCATTTATATTCATTAATATTGAGATGTTAGGTACTATTACAGACATCATGTTGACTGTAATTTATCTCAGTATAAAGATAAGATAAAAAGAAACTAGTATTTAGAGAAACTTAAAGATTTGTCCAAGGGTTCCACTGTAAATAAGTGGAAAAGCCTGAAGTTTATCTGATATTTATCGAATGAGTGAGCCCAAGTTTATCTAACATCAAAATTCAATGCACTTTTTGTTTCACCAAAGCACAGAAACTAGAGGAACTCAGATAGCTAGACTCACTGGCCACTATAGAATGGTAGAAGGTCATATTCAAGGAACTTGAAATGTCTTTATCTGCCCCACTATCTATATGAAATCACTGGCCTATTACTTCTCAAACCTGGATTAAATATGTGGAGGACTCTGCACTTTCATTAGAAACTTTATTATCTTATTTCTAATGGGACTAGTGTTTCTCACAAGCCAGGACAGCACCTTCTTCACCTCTGTGAAATGTCCAAAATAATGAGCACTCTTGGCTGTAGAATAAAAGGAAAACTAGGAAAAAAAGAGAAAGGGGTGATTATTGTTGTTGATGAAGCACTCAGTGCAAGATTTTCTGACTTATTGTAACAACATCTGATCATATCTCTCCCTAGATTAAAACACTAGTTGACTCCCTCTTCACCCACAAAATTAAGCTTAGTTTCCCCATTATGGAACACAAAGCCATGCAGAGTTTGGATGCTGGCTACCCCTTTAGCCTCATTCTCTGCTACTGTTGCATAATCTCATTGCCCTGGTTGTAAGTCATGGTCACTTGTGAGACTGTGATGTCTCCCTAGGGTATGTTGACATTGAGAAAGGACTGGTAGAGATATATTCATCACATCCAAGGAGGACCCATCAAATAAATTACCTCTTATAGCTACTTTCTGCTTTAAAAATCCAGGTCCCATGTTGCCTCTTTTACATCAACAATATCACGTTAGTGTTCTCATTGACCATGTCCTTTACATTCCTCTATGCTCTCTTGCAGTGGTATGTAGCTTTCAGATTATAAATGGACTGACACCACCTATGAGAAATGAATTTTAAGCATTGGCTGTGATTTCAAATTCCTTGCCCCAAGCCACAATGTATAATCTTCAAAACACACAATAGTCTTACCTTTTGTGATATTCTGTTCTAATTCTATGTGTCAACTTGGCTAGGCTATTATCTCTCCAGTTATTTAATTAAATACTAATCTAGGTGTTGCTATAAAAGTATTTTATAAATATGGTTAACATTCATAATCAGTTGGCTTTAAGTAAAGAATAATATCCTAGATAATTTGGGTGAGCCTCATTCAATCATCTGAAAGTCTTCTTGAGCAGAACTGAGGTTGTCTAGCTGAATAAATTTCACCTGTGGACTGTACCTTCCACTTGTGTCTGAGAGTTCCAGCCTACCCTTTTCTGATGGCCTATCTTTATGGACTTTAGACTTGCCTAGCCAGTCTCCAGAATGGCATATGCCAATTCCTTGGATGAATACCAAAACATATATCTCCTACTGGTTCTGTTTCTCTGGTAGAAGCTTAACTAATATACCTGTCTCACAAGGAGTTAGTTATTATATAGGTATTTTTTGTTAGAATTACCTAGTTAGAAGACTATATAGAATCTGTCATATTTTGTGAATTTTGTTTTTCAGAGGTAGTATTTCTATTACACAATTCAGAAAGTTTTAGACTTGGCTGTGTATATGCCCTTTAGCACAGCGATTACCCAAGCATATACACAAAAGAAAGATGAGTTTCTCATAGTGTATTTATTCTCTGTCTGAAAACATGCTTTGAAATATTTTTTATTCCTAAAATTAGTCCTCTTTTCTCTTAAACATTGTTGTCCACATTTCCATTGTTAATATATAGAATTGCAATATATGTTTTTGTATTTATCTTGTGTCTTGTGATCCTACTGTACTTACTTATTAGTCCTAGGATTTTTTGTTGTGGTTGTTGACCCCTTGAGCTTTTCTCTGTGGTCAGTTACATCATCTGCAAATAGTAACAGTTTTATTTCTTCTTTTTTGATTTGTACAGCTTTTATTTACTTTTCTTGCCTTATAATGCTGGCTAGAACTTACATCATTATGCTGAATAAGAGTTGTGAGAGTGAACATTTTTGCCTTATTGATCGTAGGAAAGAAACAGTCTTTTTCACCATCAAAAATAATGTAAATTGTAGGGGTTTTTTGTAGATGTTATTTAATAAGTTGAAACATTTCCACTTTATTCCCAGTTTGCTGGGAGTTTTTATCATAAATGGATGTCAAATTTTGTCTTATCTTTTTTCTGAATCAATTGATATGATCATGTGATTTTTTATCCTGTTAATATGGTAACTGTGTTGGTTGATTTTAGAATATTGAACTGTCTTTGTATCCCGGAATAAACCCCACTTGGTCATGGTGTATATTTATTTTTGTATGTTGCTGAATTGTATTTATTAATATTTTGTTAAGGATTTTAACTCTTTATTCATGAGGAATATTGGTATTTTTCTTTTTTTGAAGGGTATCATCTTTGTCTGATTTTGGTATCAGGGTCATACTGCTTCATAAAATGAATTGGAAAGTATTCCCTCTTCTAGTGTCTGGAAAAGATTGTGTAGAATTAGTGTTAATTCCTTTTTAAAGGTTTGGTATAATGTTCTGGACTTAAAGATTTCTTTGTGGGGAATTTTTTAATTCAAAATTTAATTTCCTTGACAGTAATGATGCTATTAAAATTATGTATTTCATATTGGGTGACTTGTGGTAGTTTATGTCAAAAAATTGGTCCATTTCATCTAAGTTGTTGAATGTATGTGTGTAGAATTGTTCATGGTATTCCATTATTATCCTTTTGATATCGCAGGGTGTGTAGTGATACAAACATTTTCATTTTTTATGTTGGTAATTTGTGTTTTCTTTTTTGTCAGTTTTGCTAAAGGTCTATCAATTTTATTGATGTTTTCGAAGAGCCTGTTATTTGTTTCACTGTTTTTTCTGTGGTTTTCTAGTTTCATTTTTATTGATTTCTGGCTCTTACTGTTTTTTTTTTTCATCCTTCCACTTGCTCTGGGTTGTTCTTCTGCTCCTAAGTTCTTGATGTGGGAGCTTAGGTTACTGATTTGAAACATTTCCTCTTTTCTAATATAAACAGTGCTATAAAATTTCCTCTCAGCACTGCTTTAGCTGTGTTCCATAAATTTTAACAGTCATATTTTCATTTTTATGCAGTTTAATGTATATCTTTTATTTTCCCTGAGACTCTTTGACTCATGGGTTATTTAGATATGTTTTCTTTAGTTTTCAAGTGCTTGGAGATTTTTCTGTCATCCTTCTATTGTTGATTTCTTATTCACTTCCAGTGTAGTCAGAGAACACACTCTGTGATTTCAATTCTTTTAAATTGAAGTTTCCAGGATATGATTTGTGATTTACATTGGTGAATGTTCCATGGGTGCTTGAAGAAAACGTACATTTTGCTGTTGTCAGGTAAATGTTCTATCTATGTCAATTAGAACATATATAGATTGATTGGTTGACAGTGTTGTTTAGTTATATATCTTTGCTGATTTTATGTTAGTTTTATCAGTTTTCTGAAGGTGAGGAGTTGCCGTTCCCAGCTTTGACTGTGAATTTGTCCTTTCAGCTCTATCAGCTTTTGCTTCATATATTTGAGGCTCTGTTGTCTGGGGTACATACATTTAGAATTTTTTTGGCGAGTGGATTAATCCTTTTATCTATGTAATGTCCCTGTTCGTCTCTAGTAATGTTTTTGTTGTGAAGCATAATCTATCCGATATTGACATAGCAACTCCTGATTTTTTAAATGAATGTTTACATGGTATACATTTTTTTTCCATCATTTTGCTTTTGAACTACTTATGTTGTTGTCTTTGAAATTAATTTTTTTTAGACACCACAGAGCTGGATCATGTTTTTTTTCTTGATCTATCCTGCCAATATTTACATTTTATTGTGTGTAGTTAGACCTTTGCTATTTAAAATAATTATTGGCATGTGAGAACTTACTTATGTCATTTTATCATTTATTTTATTTTCTCTCTTTCTTGTTCCCTTATTTCTCTTGTATTACTCAGGGTTACTTGCATATTTTTTTCTAGGATTCCATCTTGATTTATTTATATAGTTTTGAATACATCACTTTGTAAAGCTTTGTGATATAGTATTAACATTTTCATATGTCACTTTTCAAGATTACTGGTATTATTTCATTGCTTTGAGGGAAGTGTAGAAAACTGGAATTCCATTTGTAAGTATTTAAGCATTAAGAATATTAGTTATTTGCCAAGTAGGACTTATTTTCTCACTTTGTGACTTTGAACTTGAGTTCCTACGTACAGAAAAAAATTTTAATTTAATTTAGTTCTTTTTGTATTACTTCTTTTCTTCATGTTTTCACTGGTTGTTTAATGATTCCAAAGTCTTTTTATAACCCCATCTATTAAATATTTCTCAATTTTAGAAGTATCTCATCAGGCTTGATATAAAACACACATGAACCTTTATGAATTTGAGAAGAATGGCATTAATCCTATAACAACGTGGAAAAATTAAAATCTCATTAGTATTTGGAAACACATACCCTTCCACCTTTAGATAGATAGATAAACAAATGGTAGGTAGGTAGATAGATATCCATATGAACATAGATATTACCTCAGTAATATTCTGTAGTTTTTTCCTGTGGAAATGCTACAAATATCTCATTAGGATAACTTCAAAGTATTTAATATTTTATGCTATTCTTGTATGAAAAAGAGCTATTTTGATTTGCATTTCTCCAATGACCAGTGATGATGAGCTTTTTTTCATATGTTTGTTGGCCGCATAAAATGTCTTCTTTTGAGAAGTGTTTGTTTGTTGGTATCCTTCACTCACTTTTTGATGGGGTGGTTTTTTTCTTGTAAATTTGTTTAAGTTCTTTGTAGATTCTGGCTATTAGCCCTTTGTCAGATGGATAGATCGCAAAAATTTTCTCCCATTCTGTAGGTTGCCCGTTCACTCTGATGAGAGTTTCTTTTGCTGTGCAGAAGCTCTTTAGTTTAATCAGATCCCATTTGTCAATTTTGGCTTTTGTTGCCATTGCATTTGGTGTTTTGGTCATGAAGTCTTTCTCCATGCCTATGTCCTGATTGGTATTTTAGGTTTTCTTCTAGGGTTTTTATGGTTTTAGGTCTTACATTTAAGCCTTTAATCCATCTTGAGTTAATTTTTGTATAAGGTGTAAGGAAGGGGTCCAGTTTCAGTTTTCTGCATATGGCTAGCCAGTTTTCCCAAAACCATTTATTAAATAGGGAATCCTTTCCCCATTGCTTGTTTTTGTCAGGTTTGTCAATCTCATACCAGTTAGAATGGTGATCGTTAAAAAGGCAGGAAACAATAGATGCTGGAGAGGATGTTGAGAAATGGGCACACTTTTACACTGTTGGTGGGAGTGTAAATTAGTTCAACCATTGTGGAAGACAGTGTGGTGATTCTTCAAGGATCTAGAACCAGAAATACCATATGAACCAACAATCCCATTACTGGGTATATACCCAAAGAATTATAAATCATTCTACTATAAAGACACATGCACACATATGTTTATTGCAGCACTGTTCACAATAGCAAAGACTTGGAACCAACCCAAATGCCCATCAGTGATAGACTGGATAAAGAAAATGTGGCACATTTACACCATGGAATATTATACAGCCATATAAAGGATGCGTTCATGTCCTTTGGAGGGACGTGGATGAAGCTGGAAACCATCATTCTTAGCAAACTAACAAAGGAACAGAAAGCCAAACACCACATATTCTCACTCGTAAGTGAGAGTTGAACAGTGAGAACACACGGACACAGGGATGGGAACATCACACACAGGGGCCTGTCAGGGCGTTTGGCCTAGGGGAGAGATAGCATTAGAAGAAATACATAATGTAGATGACAAGTTGATGATGGGTGCAGCAAACCACCATGGAGTGTGTATAACTATGTAACACGTTCTGAACGTTCTGAACATGTATCCCAGAACTTAAAGTATAATAAAAAAAAAATAAGAAATCAGTTTTAGTTAGGTACGATTTACACAGAATAAAATTCACCAGTTTTAAGTATATAATTTGATAGATTTCAATGGCTGCCTAGAGTTGAGTAACGACCACCACCACAATCAAGACATAGAACACCCGCATCATCTTGAAAAATTCCCTTGCACCCTTTTGGGATCATCCCTGTCTCCACTTCCAGCTCTTGGCAACCACTGATCTGATTTCTGTTCCTATTTTGCCTTTCACAAAATGTCATATAAATGAAATCACAGACATGTAACCTTTTGTAGCTGGTTTCTGCTACTTAGTATGAAGCTTTTAAGACTCATTCAAGTGTGGCATATATCAGTAGTTCATATTTTTTTATTGCTGAGTATTCCGTTAAAAGGATGTACCAGTTTGTTTACCCATTTACTAGTTGAAGAACATTTGGACTCTTTCCAGTTTGGGACCATTATAAATAAAGCTGCTATAAACACTTATGTATGGGGGGAAAAACGAAAAAGAGCTGTTGATTTTATATATTTATTTTAGTTCTAAACTCTTTTTTAGTTTAAGACGAGCTTGTCTACCCTGCAGCCCAGGGGCTACATGTGGCTCAGGAAGGCTTTGAATGTGGCCCAATACAAATTCGTAAAGTTTCTTAAAACACTACGAGATTTTTTGTGTGTGATTTTTTTTCAAGCTCATCAGCTATTGTTAGTGTTAGTGTATTTTATGTGTGACCCAAGACAATTCTTCCCCCAACGTAACCCAAGGAAGCCAAAAGACTGGACACTCCTGGTTTGAGAGTATTTCAGGAGATACTCTTGAGGTTTCTAGCCGTATAATTAGATACATTCTTAATAACAGGAAAGTAGTTTAAATATAACTAGTGTATAAGTTTGATCCTGTCAGAGAGGGGCAGCATAATAGGTATAAGTGATAGAACACAGCGTTTGAGTTCATACAGACACTGATCACTTTTCTACTTACATTATCTTTATGGTAATTAATTTCTGTGAACCTCAAGGCTATGATTTGAATGTATCTCCTTCAAATGCAGGAGTTGGTGATATGGTAGCTTTAAGAGATGGGCCCTTAAACAGTGATTATGCCAAGAGGACTCCTTTCCCATGAATGGAATTAAGGACCTTGTACAAGAGGCTTCTCTCAGCATTCAGCTAGCTTGTTAGGTTGCCATTCTGCCTTCTGCCATGTGACGACATAGCATTCCTCACCTCTGGAGGATTCAGCCCTCATCAGACAACCAA
Organism: Homo sapiens; assembly: GCF_000001405.40. Taxonomy (NCBI): domain Eukaryota; kingdom Metazoa; phylum Chordata; class Mammalia; order Primates; family Hominidae; genus Homo; species Homo sapiens. The sequence continues at coordinate 106,513,819 of NC_000009.12, read as the reverse complement.
ACATACTGCTGCCTTGACCTTGGACTTCCTAGCGTCCAGAACTGTGAGAAAATTAATTTCTCTTCTTTATAAATTACCCAGTCTCAGGTGTTTTGTAAAAGCAGCACAAACAGACTGAGACATTCAGTATCTTTAGCTGTTAAGAAAAGTTTATATCAGAGTAGTTGCAATGAATAAATAAAATAAAGAGTGTAAAGTTCTTAGCATAGTACTGATAAAGAGTAACTAATCAGTAAACAGGTATTATTTATCTTTTGTATCATTTAACGTCATACATTTTGCTTGTGCTCTATTATATTATAGAAATCTTGCTGTTGGTATTGGTAGTTAGAAAAAACATGTTGGTTTATTGGCTCTTTCACTGGAATGTAGGTTCATAGATATCAGGAATGACAAATAGTATCATCTCATACAGTAACTCTCACTGATTGTGAATTTCCACCTAGAGATCTGGATTACCAAGAATGAATGTTGAATTGATTAGTGATGTCTGCCATAGTATATATTGGGAAAATAAAGGACATGTGCAAATACATCTGGTGCTATGCTTTGTCTGACTCACCATTACAAATTATAGGCAGGGAGACAGTCTTTAATCAACATAAAGACAAAAATGAATGAATCTCCTAAATTCTGGCATGAAACAAATAATGGACATAAATTTATACATGTTCACTGTTAAAAAAAGAGGCTAATTTTCAAATTTAACAAAGCCTATTTGCACATATGGGCTTTATAAGAACAGTATCATTAGAATGTGAGCTCTAGAATCAAAATAACGCTCTAAATTTTAGTTTATTATTATTAAAATAAATATGTTCAAATTCTCTTAGATTTCTTTATCTGAAAATGTCTTGATTTTTCCTTCATTCCTGGAGGATATTTTCTTTGGATGTGGGATTCCAAATTGACAGTTCTTTTCTTCCCATACTCGAAAAATGTACCATTTCTTTCTGGCCACCATGATTTCTGATAATAAATCCACTCATTCTAGTTTTTCTCCCTTTCTAGGTAAGGTGCTTTTCTTTTTTCTTGCTGCATTTTAGATTCTTGCTTTGTCTTTTGTTTTCATACATTTGACTATGATGACGAGTGTTGAAATAAATTTCTTTGGTTTTATCCTGTTTGAGGTTCAGCTTCTTGAATATCTAGCTTAGTGTGTATATATCTATATATGTATATGTCTCCATATTTAGGAAGTTTTCCATCATTTCTTTGAGTGTTTTTTTTTTCTTTTTTTCTTTTGAGAGAGAGTCTTACTCTGTCACCCAGGCTGGAGTACAGTGGCTCAATCTCGGCTCACTGCAACCTCCGCCTCCCGGGTTCAAGTGATTCTCCTGCCTCAGCCTCCCAAGTAGCTGGGATTGCAGGCACCCACCACCACGCTCAGCTAATTATTGTACTTTTAGTAGAGACGGGGTTTCACCATGTTGGCCAGGCTGGTCTTGAACCCCTGACCTTTGGTGACCCGCCCACCTTGGCCTCCCAGAGTGCTGGGATTACAGGCGTGAGCCACTGCAACTGGCCTCTTTGAGTGCTTTTGAAACTTATTCTCTTTCTCCTCTCCTTCTGAAACTCTGATGAAACAAATGTTAGATTTTTTGTTATTGTCCCATGGGTTGCTCCTAAGGCTCTGTTCATTTTTATTGTTCTATTTTTTTCTCTGTTGTTCAGATGGGGTAATTTCTATTGTTTTATCTTTCAGTTCACTGATTCTCCTTCATTCTGCTGTTGAGCCTATCCATTGAGCTTTTTATTTTAGTTATTGTAGTTTTCAGTTCTAAAATTTTAATCTGGTTTTACTTTATATCTTATTTCTTTGTCAAGACTTTATTTTTTCATTTGTTTTAAGCATGTTCATATTTTCTCCTTGAAGTATTCTTATGGTGGATGCTTTAAAATCTTTGTTAGATAAGTCTAACATCTCTGTTATATTGATATGGATGTCTGTCAATTGTCTTTTGTTCATTCAGGTTGAAATTATCTTGGTTGTTGATGTGAAATAATTTTTTTGTTGAAACCTGGACATTTTGGGTATTATGTGATGAGACTATGGAATGTATTTAAATCTTCCCTTTTAACTGGCTTCTTCTGACACATCTCCAGCAGGGGTGTAGAGGTCATGGCCTCATAACTGCCAGGAATACACAGAAATTTGGGTTGCCCACATGACCTCCACTGACATCCAAGTTAGGGGAAGGGGCTTCTTGCTACCATTGGGTGGGGGTAGATATTTCAGTTCCCTAGTAGCCTTCCTCTGCTACCACCTTGCCAGAAAAGAGTAGGAGTGCCTCACTGCTGCTCCTCAAATGGCCTTCACTGATATGAACTAATATACTTTTTAAGAAATTCAAGGGTGGGGGACTTGTCCTACCAGATAGTAAGACAAATAACAAAGTTGTCACAATTAAGGCACTGTCATTTATCTCAAAGGTAAGCAAACTGATCAATAGAACGGAATACAGAGCCTAGAAATGCACATATGAATGGATAAAGACTAAATATGTGACTGATCGTATATTAAAGAATGACCTACTGCATAAATGCCCTGGAAAATTGTTTATCCATTTGGAAACAAATATAATTAGATTCTTTAGCACTAAATAATAACAAAATAATTGCAGTTGCACGAAAACGTGAAAAGCAAATTTTTTAGAGTTAAGAATAATACATGGAAAGATATTTGCATGAACTAGGAAAAGAAAAGTATTTCTTAGGGGGAAAAAGCACATAGCATTTATTTATTCATTGAAAAATATTTATTAGGCACCTGCTATATGCCAGGTACTATTCTAGGGATGTGTTAACAAAGCAGCAATTCTCCTTCCTCTAAAAAGGCTTATATACGTGCATAATAGATGAAGAAAATGATAAATTTGATTATATTAACATAACAACTTTCATACAAAGAGCAAGGACAGAGAAACTATATGCAATACTCATAACCCAAAAAATTTGGTCATAATAATACTAGCTTATTTAGGTACAATTTAAATTGGTATGTATATGTAGTTCAATTCTCAAAAAATATAAAGACTAGTTCACAGAACATATGAAGACACCACAAGAAAATGAGAAAAAACAGATACTATGCTTGATCTTAGCCAAAAGGTTAATGCAACAGAACAGAGGCCTCAGAAAGAACACTACACATCTACAACTATCTGATCTTTGACAAACCCGACAAAAACAAGCAACGGGGAAAGGATTCCCTATTTAATAAATGGTTTTGGGAAAACTGACTGGCAATATGCAGAAAACTGAAACTGGACCCCTTCCTTACACCTTATACAAAAATTAACTCAAGATGGATTAAAGGCTTAAACATAAGACCTAAAACCATAAAAACCCCAGAAGAAAACCTAGCAATACCAATCAGGACATAGGCATGGGCAAAGACTTCATGACCAAAACACCAAAAGCAATGGCGACAAAAGCCAAAATTGACAAATGGGATCTGATTAAACTAAAGAGCTTCTGCACAGCAAAAGAAACTCTCATCAGAGTGAACAGGCAACCTAGAGAATGAGAGAAAATTTTTCAATCTATCCGTCAGACAAAGGGCTAATATCCAGAAGCTACAAAGAACTTAAACAAATTTACAAGAAAAAAACAACCCCATCGAAAAGTGGGTGAAGGATATGCACAGACACCTCTCAAAAGAATACCATTTATGAGACCAACAAACATGAAAAAAGGCTGATCATCACTGGTCATTAGAGAAATGCAAATCAAAACCACAGGGAGATACCATCTCACACCAGTTGGAATGGCGAGCATTAAAAAGTCAGGAAACAACAGATGCTGGAGAGGATGTGGAGAAATAGGAACTCTTTTACACTGTTGGTGGGAGTGTAAGTTAGTTCAACCATTGTGGAAGACAGTGTGGCGATTCTTCCAGGATGTAGAACCAATAATATCATTTGACCCAACAATCCCCATTATTGGGTATATACCCAAAGGATTATAAATCATTCTACTATGAGGACATATGCACGTGTGTGTTTATTGCGGCACTAATCACAATAGCAGACTTGGAACCAACACAAATGTCCATCAGTGATAGACTGGATAAAGAAAGTGTGGCACATATACACCATGGAATACTATGCAACCACAGAAAAGGATGATTCATGTCTTTGCAGAGACATGGATGAAGCTGGAAACCATCATTCTCAGAAAATTAACACAGGCACAGAAAACCAAACACCGCATGTTCTCACTCATAAGTGGGAGTTGAACAATGAGAACACATGGACTCAGGGAGGGGAACATCACACACAGGGGCGTGTCAGGGGGTTGGGGGTTAGGGGAGGGATAGCATTAGGAGAAATACCTAATGTAGATGATGGATTGATAGGTGCAGCAAACCACCATGGCACGTGCATACCTATGTAACAAACCTGCACATTCTGCACATGTATCCCAGAACTTAAAGTATAATAATAATAAAAAAAAAGAAAATGAGAAAAAGGGAAACAATAGAAAAATAGGCAAGGGATTAGAACATGGAAGGAAGACTTAATTCACAATAGATATGTGAAAAGATGCTTGAGCCCCTTTAGAGTTAGGGAAATGTAAGCTGAAATAATATTGATATGTCAATTTATATTAATCATTTTAGCAAAAATTAAGAAGTTGACCAATACCAAAGCCTGTCTAGAATGTGGTACAATAGTAATGCTTGTATACTAGTGGGTGCAGGGTGGCAGAACCATTTTGAACAATGGGTTACCCTACAACTGAAAAGCTCTAAGTGTTTATCTCTTACACGTGCTTAAAAAGATATGCACAAGAATGTTTACTTCATCATCTGTAACATCATTTGTACTAGCAAAAAAATCACAATCTAAAGATTGTTCAACAGGAAAATGAACAAAGTACTTATTTGAAAAACAGACTATAACAATTAAAAAACTGAAGTACTTATTTGAAAAATAGACTAACAAAGTATTTATTTGAAAAATAGACTATAACAGTTAGTTAAAAACTGAATTTCAAGCTACAATTTAGTTTAACTATATATTATTAAATATTATATATGTTATTTTAAAATAATACATATATGTAAAGATGAAACTAAAGAACAAGTTGTAGAAAAGTACAACCATAGTTATGCTTTATAACTTTTAAAACATATAGAATATTATTAGTTCATGCATATGTGATTAAAAATAAAAGATATGAAAAAACAAACACTAAATTCAGTAGTTTACTTCTGTGGAAGGATGACAAAAATGGACTGAGGTAGGTTACAACTTTATCTGTACTAACTTATTTATTTTTTATTTTTAAAAAATTATATTACTTTTTTTGAACACATACTATTTCTTAAAAAGAGAGAATTTCATATTTGCAATTTCCCAAATGTATAGCATGAAAATCTGTCCGTTTGGGCAGAAGCTAATTTGGCAGGAATTTTCTGAGGGGTATTTGTTTTCATTTTTGTTTTATAGGATAATTCATTGATTCTCTCATTTAATACACTCACCAGGCTGGGCGCTGTGGCTCACGCATGTAATCCCAGCATTTTGGGAGGCCGAGGAGGGCGGATCACGTGGTCAGGAGATGGAGACCATCCTGGCTAACACGGTGAAACCCCACCTCTACTAAAAATACAAAAATTAGCTGGGTGTGGTGGCGGGCACCAGTAGTCCCAGCTACTGGGGAGGCTGAGCCAGGAGAATGGCGTGAACCCAGAAGGCAGAGCTTGCAGTGAGCCGAGATCACACCACTGCCCTCCAGTCTGGGCGACAAAGCGAGACTGTCTCAACAACAACAACAACAAAATAAAAATTAAAATTAAATAAAATAAAATAACTCTCACCAAAGAAACTGGAGGACTACATAACACATCAGCAAAATCGAAACTCCTTTTTTTTTGGAGACGGAGTCTTGCTCTGTTGCCCAGGCTGGAGTGCAGTGGCGCAATTTTGGCTCACTGCAACTCCTGCCTCCCAGGTTCAAGTTAAAGCAATTCTCCTGCCTCAGCCTCCTGAGTAGCTGGACTACAGGCATATGCTGCAACGCCTGGCTAATTTTTTGTATTTTAGTAGAGACGGGGTTTCACCGTGTTGCCCAAGCTGGTTTCGAACTCCTGAGCTCAGGCAATCCACCCACCTCGGCCTCCCGAAGTGCTGGGATTACAGGTGTGAGCCACCTGTCCGAGATGGTGTGGATGCCTTTTCCTTTATCTTAAGTGAAGTTTCACCACTGATTTCTGGTGTGGTCTATTAGGGAAATAGGTTACATTTTTAATAGGCTTTGACAAGCTCTTTGTTTTTTCTTTTGTTTGTTTGTTTCTTGAGGCAGAGTCTAGATCTGTCGTCCAGGCTGGAGTGCAGTGGCTATCTCGGCTCACTGCAAGCTCCGCCTCCCAGGTTCACGCCATTCTCCTGCCTCAGACTCCCGAGAAGCTGGGACTACAGGTGTCCGCCACCATGCCCGGCTAATTTTCTGTATTTTTAGTAGAGACGGGGTTTCACCGTGTTAGACAGGATGGTCTCGATCTCCTGACCTCCTGTTCCATCCGCCTTGGCCTCCCAAAGCGCTGGGATTACAGGCATGAGCCACCACACCCAGCCGAAAAGCTCTTTGATTTTTAAGTTAACTCTTTCCCCTTTTCAAATCTCCACTTTTTCAACTTCTCAAATGTCCTGCCTGTGAGTGCAAAGCCAAAGTAATTTGGTGAGGTCTATTCCTGGCCCTTTCTCTTCCTTTTACTTCCCTTTTGGTTAGTTCTTAAGACTAATGAGCTAGTGTTTCAGGAACCACGTCAGTTTTTTTAGATTTTTGAAATTATGTTTATATATGCCACCCATATAGACACAGAGAGATGCACAAATTTCTTCTAGTAGTATAGAGATTCTAGAAGGCTCATAGCCAGAAGTTATTTGACAGTCATGCATTGTGTGTAGATTCCATCACAGCCTGTGGTTGTGATGCTTCGTCAGAACTTGCACAGACTGTCTTCTTTATAGAAATCCTGTATTTCTGGCTGCTACAGTCTGAACTGTTGAGTGCCAAGCTCCAAGGCTGCATCAAGGGCAGAGAACCAAAGAAGCAAAGGGTCTTCTAGTAGGATTTCTATACTTATATTTCACTCCATTTATCAGCCAATGCAGAAATCATCTCCTTATTATACACTGATGGTAAGCTAGAGGGACCTCTAGATCCAGCGCAGTCATCTCATTTCACAAAGGAGGATATGGGAAACTGGCATATTTTCAGGTCATTTGATATGACAGTGGAAGACTTGGGACAATGCCTTGTGTTCTCAACTCCATTTCTGGAATTCTTCCCTTGCACCATTACATGTACTCAACAGCCTCAACCTGGATGAATTTTAATCACCAAAATGTGACATACATATGATAAAGCTAAACTGCCAGGAATAGGGTTTGGCAGATCTGGTCTGTGCTAGCTAAGACCAGACAGCACAGAAGTGAACTAGTGCCTACTTCCTTTCTTCAGGCTGCGCCACAGCCATGCTGGCCAAGAAATGGGAAGCACCACACTTCTTAGGCCTCAGGCAGCAGAAAGGACCTAGGCAAGTGTCATCCACTCATTCGCACTCATTATAGAATATGGTGATAACTAATCTATGCATGGCCTCATTGCTTCAAGAGTTGGAATCTGCCTGGGACTGAGGTTCAAGAGACCTAGGTCCTCATCCCAACTGTGCTGCTTACATGCTTTGAGGCCTCAGACAATACACTTCCCTTTCTGTTTCTCAGAGTCCCCATTTGTGATAGGCAGAATAATGGTCTCCAAAGACGTCCATATCCCAATCACTGGAATGTATTAATGCATTACCTTACACAACACAAGGGACTTTGCAGATGTGATTTAAGAGATGGGGAGATTATCCAGGTGTGCTCAATTTAATCTCATGGGCCCTTAAAAACAGAGAACCTTTCTCAGCTGTGGTGAAGGGGGATGTGACTATGGAAGATGTGACTACGAAAGAATGGCCAGAGAGATGGAATGTTGCTGGCTTTGCAGAAGGAGGAAGGAGCCACAGGCCAAGGAATGGGGCTGGCCTCTAGATTCTGGAAAGGACAAGTAAACAGCCTCTGGAGAGGAATGCAGCTGTGCTGACACCTTTATGTTAATGCATTTAGACTCGATGTTGGATTTCTGACCTACAGAACTATAAGATAATATTTTTGTGTTCTTTTAAACAGCTTCATAGTCATTTGTTACAGCATGAATAGAAATCTAATATACCATATTCAGCTCTGAAAGTAATAACAAATAATAAGTTACTTTAACATTCAATTATTTAAGGGATCTGCTCTTCAACCACTGGCATGGTCTTGGTTCAGGTGTCTCCATCTCTCGTCTTCCCTGGGTCTGTTTGCCTTTACCCCCCCGCCCCCCGTGTATCTTCCACACTAGTACTGGAAAAGTCAGTCTTAAGTATGTTTCTGATCCCACTACCACTTTCTTAAAATCCTTTAGTAATTTATTATTTCCTAGACTGCTGATCTCATATGTGTTTTAGGAGGGTGTGGTGTCAGGAATGCAGTGGAAAATAAGTAAAAGTGAAGATATCCCTCCCAGTAACAGTTATATACACATAGATACATAGACATGTATTGTAATTTCCAGAGGTTTGTGGATCCCTTGAAGTTCATTCACGGACTCAAATACAACACAGTTTGATTACAAAGATAAAATATGAATTCCTTCACTGGAAGTGATAAGGACTTTGCCTACTTCTTCCCCATATCCCTCTCAACTCCCATCATACCCTATGCCACATCAAACTCCTTCCACCTGTCCAAATGTGCCAAGCTGGTTTAGGCCTCAATGTTGTTCTATCTGGCAGAATAATTCTCCCCTTTCCACTCTCATTGCTTAAAAGGCAAACAGCCATTAATTTTTCAGGCTTATCTTAAAAGCCTGTGCTTTTCCTGACAGCGCTCCTACTCTTTCCCCACCTACCCCACAGGTATGACAGTCCACACTTTCCTTCATGACCCCACGGCACTCTGCCCAAAGTCTAGCCAGCCCAGCCCTTCACCTGTGCTCACCTGTTCAAGCTTCTCACCTCTTCTCAACTACATGGCATGCACTGGGTTTGGAAGGGCAGAGGACAGAGACCACACCCCACGTTTGTGTTCCTAGCAGCAAACATGGCTCACACTAAGAACACAAAGCGTGGCTGGGTGCGGTGGCTCATGCCTGTAATCCCAGCACTTTGAAAGGCCAAGGTGGGTGGATCACCAGAGGCCAGAAGTTCAAAACCAGCCTGGCCAATGTGGCAAAACCCTGTCTCTACTAAAAATACAAAAATTGGCCAGGTGCGGTGGCTCATGCCTGTAATCCTAGCACTTTGGGAGGCCAAGGTGGGTGGATCACTTCAGGTCAGCAGTTCAAAACCAGCCTGGCCAACATGGTGAAACCCAGTCTTTACTAAAAATACAAAAAAATTAACCACGTGTGGTGGCAGGAGCCTGTAATCCCAGCTATTCGGGAGGCTGAGGCAAGAGAATCCCTTGAACTTGGGAGGTGGAGGTTGCAGTAATCCCAGATGGTTCCACTGTACTCTAGCCTAGGGGACACAGCAAGACTCTGTCCCTCCCCCCACCCCCCAAAAAACCAAACCGTACAAAAATTAGCAGGGCATGTTGGCACACGCCTGTGATCCCAGCTACTCGGGAGGCTGAGGCAGGAGAATCCCTTGAACCCAGGAGGTGGAGGTTGCAGTGAGCTGAGATAGCGCCACTTTACTCCAGTGGTGACAGAGCAAGACTCTGTCTCAAAAAAAAAAAAAGGAACACAAAGCATGATTGAGAGGATGACTGATTCTGAAATCGACACTTACATTAGGATGGTTTCTTTAATTTACTCATCCTCCTCTCTTTGCAATGCATCTCTTCGCTTTACAAGCCACCTAGCTTTATTGTTTCCTAAGTATTTGTCTTGCTGAACAAAGCCATTTAATTTTAGCAAGGGTCTGTAGCTGATGGGAATCCATTTGCTGCTCTTTGAGTTTGATTCATTCAGAGTAACTAATACCCACCTTGACCGATATTGTACAGTTTGTTCTCAATTCACAGCTCCTCACTGAGGATTATCTCCTCATTGACCAAAGTGTCTATTTTCTGCCAGAAACAGATCTATTATCTGGAACACAATGCTGTGCTCTAGATTATAAAATCATTATGCATTAACAGTGTCAATTCAATTTGAGGATCTAAAAATGTGGCATCAAGAACACTGAGCTGATAGCCAAAAGGTCTGGGTCTGGTCTAGATGGCCTTAGATCATATACATTTTCTCAGCTTCAATTTCCTCATTTGTACAACGGAGGAATTTGGACTCAATCACCGTAAGGACCCTCTGGATTGAAATTATATGAGGTATAAGGTCATATAGTTTCCTACTCCTCACCATATGCTTACTAGCCTAATATAGTTTTCCTACCAGCAATTAGGATAACTAGAGCTCTGAAAGGGATGCATTCAGAACACCAGAGAAAAGTTTAAATGTTTGTACCTAAATCACTCATTATGTAGTCAGTCAACATGTATTTTCTGAGAATCTGTTATATGACTGGCACCCCGCTGAGAGAAGAGAATCCAAAAATGAATAGGAGGAGACCCTCGCCTTCATGGGGCTGACAGTCTACTGTGGGAGTCAGTTATATAAACAAACACCCTGCAGTGAGATAAACATTATGTCAGAGGGAAGTCCCAGGGTCTTTGGGAGCAGAAGAGAAAGCCACAAACTGCTTGAACTAATGACAGGGTCTGCTGTTTACAAACACTTTAACATGCACAACTCCTGATTGTCATGACCTCCCACGAGGTAGAGAAGAGGTTTTATTGGCTTTCTTAAATTAGGAAACTGAAGGTGAAAAGTAGAGTGACTTCAGAGAGGCTACAGGGCTGTTAAAGGCAGGCCTAAGGAATGCAGAGGAGCTCCTTGGGTGCTGGTTCTGTGTCTTCTCCCTCACACCTAATTGCTGCCTCTTTTAGATCCATAGACTCAATCCTCAGACAAGTTGTAACACACCAGAAATTCACCTGGGGTTCACCACATGCCTTGATAGATAAGACCAGGCCTCATGTATCTTTGCGTTGAGGAGTTCTAGTGAGATCTAAGTAGACTCCACCAGAATTTGACTGAGTCAAGACATTTGTGGTGGGCTGGTGAAAATTTGCAAGAGTAATTTGAAGGACTGAGAGGTACATGTGCTGGTAAGGAGGGCAATTAGGAGAGGGTAGGGTTTGTTGCAGAGATTGACCCTTCAACACCTACCATGAACAATCACCAGAGCCTGGCAAAGGAAGGTTAAAGGAGGTATTTTCAGTTAGAATTTCATGAAATTTCTTTGAGTACTAAGTTACAAAGTGTGGTAAAAGATGACTGTGGAGTAAGATGTTCTCCTTACTTTTATGGGGAAACCAATAGCTTTTCATGCTGTGGGCTCCCTGAGGAAGCTCAAGAGAGACATTCCACCCCAGTAGAGGATGCTACTGTTCAGGACCAGCTATGCCCATGTTGTCTTGTGGCATCACTCAGTGGTGGACTTGGGAGGGAGAAGATACAGCTGCTCCTTGAGTTATGTAGGGTTACATCCCAATAAACGCATCATAATTTGAAAATGTCATAAGTTGAAAATGTATTTAATACACCCAACGTACTGAACATCATAGCTTAGCCTAGCTTACCTTAAATGTGCTCAGAACACATACATTAGCCTACAGTTGAGCACAGTCATCTGGCCACACAGTATACTTTAGAGTGTCAATTGTCTACCCTTGTGATTGCATGGCTGACTGGGGGCTACACAAGAGAGTATTTTACCACATATCACTACCCCTGGAAAACATCACAATTCAAAATTCAAAGTATGAATTCGACTGAAAGCATATTGCTTTTGCACCATTGTAAAGTAAAAAATAAATCATAAATCAAACCAGTCTAAGTCAGGGACCATCTGTACTTCTCACAAGGTAGTGAGAGGTGACAGCGTGCTGGCACCCCTCGCTCGCTCTCTGCGCCTCCTCTGCCTGGGCTCTCACTTTGGTGGCACTTGAGGAGCCCTTCAGCCCGCCGCTGCACAGTGGGAGCCCCTTTCTGGGCTGGCCAAGGCCAGAGCCGGCTCCCTCAGCTTGCAGGGAGGTGTGGAGGGAGAGGCGCAGGTGGGAACTACGGCTGCTTGTGATGCTTGTGGGCCAGCGCGATTTCCAGGTGGGCGTGGGCTCGGCAGCCCCCACTTGGGAGCCCCCTGGCCAGCAAGCCCCAGGCAGTGAGGGGCTTAACACCTGGGCCAGCAGCTGCTGTGCTCGACTTCTTGCCGGGCCTTAGCTGCCTCCCTGCAGGGCAGGGCTCAGGACCTGCAGCCCGCCATGCCTGAACCTCCCCTCGCCACCATGGGCTCCTGCCCAGCCTGAGCCTCCCCGACGAGCACCGCTCCCTGCTCCACAGCGCCCAGTCCCATCGACTGCCCAAGGGCTGAGGAGTGCGGGCGCACAGCGCAGGACTGGCAGGCAGCTCCACCTACGGCCCGGTGCGCGATCCACTGGGTGAAGCCAGCTGGGCTCCTGAGTCTGGTGGGGACTTGGAGGACCTTTATGTCTAGCTAAGGGATGGTAAATACACCAGTCGGCACTCTGTATCTAGCTCAAGGTTTGTAAACACACCAGTCAGCACCCTCTGTCTAGCTCAGGGTTTGTGAATGCACCAATCAACACTCTGTATCTAGCTACTCTGGTGGGGACTTGGAGAACCTTTGTGTCCACACTCTGTATCTAGCTAATCTGGTGGGGACGTGGAGAACTTTTGTGTCTAGCTCAGGGATTGTAAACGCACCAATCAGCACCCTGTCAAAACGGACCAATCAGCTCTCTATAAAACAGACCAACCGGCTCTCTGTAAAATGGACCAATCAGCAGGGTGTGGGTGGGGCCAGATAGGAGAATAAAAGGAGGCTGCAGCAGCCAGCAGTGGCAACCCCTGGGGTCCCCTTCCACACTGTGGAAGCTTTGCTTTCGCTCTTTGCAATAAATCTTGCTACTCCTCATTCGTTAGGTCCAGACTGCCTTTATGAGCTGTAACACTCACCGTGAAGGTCTGCAGCTTCACTCCTGAAGCCATCGAGACCACGAACTCACCTAGAGGAACGAACAACTCCAGACACGCCACCTTAAGAGCTGTAACACTCACTGCAAAGGTCTGCAGCTTCACTCCGGAGCCAGCGAGACCACGAACCCACCAGAACGAAGAAACTCCGAACACATCCGAACATCAGAAGGAACAAACTCCAAACATGCCACCTTTAAGAACTGTAACACTCACCGCGAGGGTCCGCGGCTTCATTCTTGAAGTCAGTGAGACCAAGAACCCACCAATTCCGGACACAGTAGCAAGTGGAGGAGGTCTTGTGAAAACATTCCACTTCAATGACCCAGCTTAAGACACATTCATGAGCCCCTGTGATGTATCACCTGGGATGCCCAGAAAGAACAGGGTAGAATTTGTTGGTTAGTAGAGCTCAGTGAAGCATGAGTTACATTTGCATACTCAGCATCTACCTTAAATCTGGCACACAGCAAGAGCTCAATGAATGCCTTTTCAACTTAAGGGAGGTACCTTTTCACCATTGCCCCAACCCCCACCTGACCACAGGTCACTCCACTCACACCTCCTGGTGGCTTTTCCCTATCACCGGTGGCTCTGCACTTTAACCCTTTTCAGTTTCATCTACTCCTATCCTCTTTCAGGTCTTGGGACTCTCACCCTCTTTATATATCAGTTTAGAACTTGGAATTCAAAAGATGTTTGAGCCATAGGATTTAATTTTGAATACAGTAAATGCATGATGATTAATCTTATTCTGACTTAGGGAGTTGAAATATCCCAAGTGCTAATGGCACAACCTAACTTTGTCTTCTTTATTTCTTCAACAGTCTTCCTTGCTTCCTAAAGTAGCAAACATGGAAAACATGTACAGTTGTCAGAAGCAGATACCATTTGAGATTTTGAACAATCACCTAGAGGAGGTCACTGAACATAAGAATAACAAGAGGACCTGAGGACTTACTGCCATTCACTTTTTTAGTAGACATTTCTTGAGCCTCAGTGGTGCAGCAGGTTATCTGCTGTAATACTTGGTTGTATTTACTGATTTTCCTGTTGTTCTCCCACCTGCCCCATGTCTATTCCCTGTGAGTTCATTAGGGACTCTGTACCTGCAGAACTTTCCCACAGCATTAGTAGGTGATTGGGTTTTAACTTCTCTAATTCAGAAGTGACCAAACTTCTGGAAAGCTCTTCAGATGTTTGGTAAGCCTCCAATTCTCCTTTTATAATCAGACCTGTGAATACCATAATTCCCAAAGTGTTAGACAATTACTTCAGAAAGTATTTCAGTTCCTCTTCTGCATTTAGTCCAAGAATTTTTTTTTACTCTTTCTCCTTCATTTGAGGTTCTAAGGATTAAAGGGTAAATGATTGCTACTTAAAGAAAACTGGGCTCTTTTCATCTTACTATTTATACTTACCTCTGACCTAATAAGTCTAACAACTCATATAAAAAACTATTGATTGAATTTATCCACTGATAGGGACCATGACCTAAGCTAGCGGCATCAAAACCTAGAGACAAGCTACCTGGATTTGAATTCTTGTTCTGCCACTTAACAGTTGGGTGACACTGAGCAATTTACTTAAATGTTTCATGCCTCATTTTTCTCAACCGTAAACTCAGGAAGATAATAAAAGGTTGGAGAATTGAGTTCATATATGGAAAGCTATTAGCACAGTCAAGACAGTAGTAACTCCTATATAGGCTTGCTATAGCAGTAGTTATAGTAGAACTACTAATAGAAGATGTAGAAGTACTAGTAAAGTAAGACATACATTTACACACTAATAATACAACATAAAAAATCAGAACTCATGGAAATAGAGAGTAGAATGTTTGTTATCAGAGGCTTGGAAGGGTAGTGAGGTGAGGGTAGGAAACGGGGATGCTTAATGGGTACAAAAATATAGTTAGATACAATGAATAAGATCTAATATTTGATAGCATCACAGGGTGACTACAGTCAGCAATAATTTGTTGTACACTTTAGAACACCAAAAGGAGTACAGTTGGAATGTTCATAACAAAAAGACGTAATGAATGCTTGAGGTAATAGGAACCTCATTTGCTTGGTGTGATTATTACACAGTATATGACTATATTAAAATTTCTCATGTACTCCATTAATATATACACCTACTATATACCCGTAAAAATTAAAAATTAATTTTTTTAAATGAAGCGATTCATACCTGATACAAACTAAATTCTATTCTGCTCAAAAGTATTCATTGCTGCGTGACAATTTCTCCACAGATAGCAATGTCAAAATTCCCCACCTCCCTTCACTATGCTTCCATGCCCTCCAAGCAGTCTTCCAAGGGCTAATTCAACTTTCCAGGTACCTCAGTACTGGAAAGGTGGTGTGGTAAATAGAGAACAGAATGATCCTTGCCACAGGGAAGTGGTAAATTGACATTTCAAAATCAATCTTGTGTGAATTATTATTAGCCTGTCACTGGAAATCTCTCCTCTCCAGGAGTATTGATAAGGTCATGTTCTGGACCTCCAAGACTGTGGACTTAAGACTTCAGATCATGGTGAATTTATGGAAATTTGCTCTCCTGAAGATTCGTTGTCAGCCTTGCCTGGAGACATTGCTTCTGCTTCATCATGTGCTATGCCTCTTCATTGCAACAGACTTTAATAGGCCACACTTTAGCCATAGTGGAATCTCTAAGCCCTCCAATCTACAATGAAATAACACCTTTCCGTGGAAGACATGCTTCAGGAAGCAGGACTGGAAGCTCCGTAAAATTAGAATCTGTGTCTGTCTTATATACCTAGCACAGTGCCAGGCGTGTAGTAGTGATCAGTATTTGTCATACAGTTTTATGCACTCCCAACAATCTTAACAAAGACTTCCAGGAAGAATGAGCTTATCCTGCTTTCACAAATAATAAAGCAAAATTTAATTAAACAATCTATACATCCTAATGTGCTGCATACAAATTCTTTATGCTGAAAACCCATTTAAACTCTCATTCTGCTAAAAAAAAAATACATAAATAAAGACCTTCCTTTGCACATGTCCCATTTCCAACACTTTCAAATAATTTTAATCTACCACTAGTAGTGGAGAAGGTCACAACATTTCTCATTCCACAAAGGCAATGTAAAAGAAAGGAAAGCTAGATAGTACATTCAGAATGAGGGATATTCTGATGTCTATTTTGAGGAGAAGGTCAACTCAAGGTTAAAAGACAATGTAAAGAATTGCCAAAAATGAGAGACTATACTTCTTGCACTTTAGGGATTATGGCAAAAGTCTGACCTGCTTGAGATGCCCTTAGAAGTCTGGGACCTCTGGTTCAGATGATCAAGTGCAGTGTTCAGTTAAAAGATGCCATTTTTGCAACACAAACCACAAAGCAGCTACCCACATTCATTATCGAGTCCCAGACGCCATCTGGGAAAACCAGCGAGTGCAACCACCAGTAGTATTGGGCAGATTTTCTATTTCAAGAATTTCTGCTTATATCTTTATTCTTTCTTTAGACATTAAAAAATATATATTTTAAAGTTTTTTTCTTAGAGTTTTTTTGGCACTTCTTTAGTTAAGTTCCAAAGTTTCCATTTGGATTTCTCATTAATCAGAAAATTGTATAGAACTATGTGCGTGGGGGCTTGTGTTTATATTTAGATGCCTGTTTGGGTTTTCTTTGTTTTTTGACATCTTTTAGTTGTTAAGTTCTAATTTTATTGCATAATGGTTAGTAAATTTGGCCTATAAAATTAACTTTTTGAAATTTGTTAATTTTTTAGTTGTGGTCTTGTTGATGGACAAATTTTATGACTGCTGCATGTGTTTCAAAGTGATGTGGAATCTCTATTTATTGAGTACCAAGTTTTCTATACATTAGGTGAAATCTATTGATATATTATTAAAATTAATACCCTTTTCTATTTTCTATCTGTTTAATTTTCGTTTCTGAGAGGCTTGTTCAAGTTCTCAAAAATAATTTTGTTTCTTTCGTTTTTTGAGATAATTCTCTCAATTTTGATTCAACTATTTTTAACTATTTTTTACACGTATAACAGTCTATTCTTGGTTGCATTTATCAATAGGATGTATACATCATCATTTCTTTCGATTATTTTTCCCTTATATCTTAATTTTATACTTTATTTTTAAATTTACATAATGATACATACTTATGGGTTCCATGGTGATGTTTCAATACATGTAAGTATAGTGATCAGAGCAGGGTAATTAACATATCCATCAGCTCAAACATTTATCCTTTCTTTGTGTTGGGGATATTCAATATATTTGAATATCTCTTTGATTCTAATATAAATATTATTGTTCAATTCATCCAACAGTGGTATAGCACACTAGAATTTATCTCTCCTATCAAGTTGGATTTTGTATCCTTTAACAAATCTCTCCATATTCTTCCCCTTCCCCTACCCTTCCTAGCCTCTAGGATCTTCTATTTTACTTCTTACTTCTATGAGGTTAATTTCTTTGGCTTCCACATATGAGTGAGAACATGTGGTATTTAACTTTCTGTTCCTAGCTTATTTCACTTACTATCGTGTCCTCACTTTCAAAAGTGTTGCCATGAATGACAGGATTTCATTCTCTTTTGTGTCTGAATAGTATTCCATTGTATATACAGCACATTTCCTTTATCCAGTCATCTGATGTTGGACACCGAGGTTGATTCCTTATCTTGGCTGTTGTGAATAGTGCTGCAAGAAACATGGAGCACAGATGTCTCTTCAATATACTAATTTCCTTTCCTTTGGATAATGCGTGGCAGTGGGATTGCTGGATCATACAGTTGTTCTATTGTAGTTTTTTGTGGAAACTTCATACTGCTATCCATAGTGGCTATACTAGTTAACATTCCCACCAAGAGTGTATAGGAGTTCCCTTTCCTCTGTATCCTCACCAGCATTTGCTAATTTTTGTCTTTTTGATAATAGCCACCCTACCTGGGGTGAAATGATACCTCTTATTTTATACGATATTAATACAGTTATGTCTGCTTTATGTTTGCTAACCATTTATAACCAAGTATTTTCACTCTTTTATTTTAGTGAAAAGATTGTTCTGTCACTTGAAAATAGCAAATGATTCAATTTTTAAAATACAATCTGAGACTCTGTTTTGTATAGGTGAGTTTAACCCATTTATATTGATGGTGCTTACCAAGTTTGGGTTTGTTCCTGCATCACAGTTTGTGTTTTCAATTTACCATGATTTCTGATTGCTTCTCTCTCCCTCCAACTTATGCCTTCTCTTGTCTTTATTGAATTTTCTTTCTAAAAACTAGATTATTAGTTATGCAGTCTCTGTGACTAAAACACCAAAAGCAATGGCAACAAAAGCCAACATTGACAAATGAGATCTAATTAAACTAAAGAGCTTCTGCACAGCGAAAGAAACTATCATCAGAGTGAACAGGCAACCTACAGAATGGGAGAAAATTTTTGCAAACTATCCATCTGACAAAGGGCTAATATCCACAGTCTGCAAGGAACTTAATGAAATTTACAAGAAAAAAACAAACAGGCCGGGTGCGTTGCCTCACGCCTGTAATCCCAACACTTTGGGAGGCAGAGGCGGGTGGATCACTAGGTCAGGAGATCGAAACCATCCCGGCTAACATGGTGAAACCCCATCTCTACTAACAATACAAAAAATTAACTGGGCGTGGTGGCGAGCGCCTTTAGTACCAGCTACTTGGGAGGCTGAGGCAGGAGAATGGCGTGAACCCAGGAGGCGGAGCTTGCAGTGAGCTGAGATCCCGCCACTGCGCTCCAGCCTGGGAGACAGAGCGAGACTCTGTCTCACAAAACAACAGCAACAACAAAACCAACCCCCATCAAAAAGTGGGCGAAGGATGTGAACGGACACGTCTCAAAAGAAGACATTGGCCAGGCTCAGTGGCTCACGCCTGTAATCCCAGCACTTTGGAAGGCAGAGGTAGGTGGATCACGAGGTCAGGAGTTCAAGACAAGCCTGGTCAGGATGGTGAAACCTTGTCTCTACTAAAAAAAATACAGAAAATTAGCCGGCCATGGTGGTGGGCGCCTGTAATCCCAGCTACTCAAGAGACTGAGGCAGAGAATTGCTTGAAACCAGGAGGCGGAGATTGCGGTGAGCCGAGATCCCGCCACTGCCTGGGCAACAGAGCAACACTGCATCTCAAAAAAAAAAAAGACACTTATGCGGCCAAGAAACATATGAAAAAAAGCCATCATCACTGGTCATTAGAGAAATGCAAATCAAAACGACAATGAGATAATACCATTTCCCACCAGTTAGAATAGCAAGCATTAAAAAGTCAGGAAATGACAGGTGCTGGAGAGGATATGGAGAAATAGGAATGCTTTTACACTGTTGGTGGGAGTGTAAATTAGTTCAACCATTGTGGAAGACAGTGTGACGATTCCTCAAGGATCTGGTACCAGAAATACCATTTGACCCAATAACCCCATTACTGGGTATATACCCAAAGGATTATAAATCATTCTACTATAAAGATACATGCACATGTATGTTTACTGCAGCACTATTTGCAATAGCAAAGTCTTGGAACCAACTCAAATGCCCATCAATGATAGACTGGATAAAGAAAATGTGGCACATATACACCATGGAATACTATGCAGCAATAGAAAAGGATGAGTTCATGTCCTTTGCAGAGACACGGATGAAGCTGGAAACCATCATTCTCAGCAAACTAACACAGGAATAGAAAACCAAACACTACATGTTCTCACTCATAAGTGGGAGCTGAACAGTGAGAACACACAGATACAGGGAAGGGAACATCACACACTGGGGCCTGTCGGGGGTTGGGGGTAGGAGAGGGATAGCATTAGGAGAAATACCTAATGTAGATGATGGGTTGATGGGTGCAGCAAATAACCATGGCACATGCATATCTACGTAACATACCTGCACGTTCTGCACATGTTTCCCAGAACTTAAAGTATAATTAAAAAAATAGATTCTATTTAAAAGGTTTTCATCTGTGTCTTCTAGTAGTTATCATTACATTTTAACAGCCTTATAATTTATCAATAAATGCCATAAATTTGACCCATTTAAAGTGTACAATTCAATAGTTTTTAGTATATTTATAGTTATATGACCATCCCCATAATCTAACTTTAAAACATTTTTATTACCATAAAAAAGAAACATACTAAATAACAGTTATTCTCCATTACGCTCCCCACCTTTCTCCTGCTCCAGTTCTAGGCAAACACTAACCTACCTTCTTTCTCTACAGATTCACCTATCCTGGACATTTTATATTAATGGAATCATATAATATGTGGTCATTTGTGACTGGCTTCTTTCACTTAGCATGCTGATTTTGATATTCATCCATGTCGTAGCACATACCAGTGCTATCTCATTCCTTTTTATTATTGAAATATATTCCATTGTATACATATACTACATTTTACCTATTTATCAACTGATAGACATTGGATTGTTTCACTTTTTGGTTATTATGAATAATGCTGCTATGAACATTCATGTAAAAGTCTTTGTGTAGACATATATTTATACTTGTTTTGGGTACAAACCTGGGAGTAGAATTTCTGGGTCATGCAGTAACCCTATGTTTAACCTTTTGAGGAAATGCCAAACTTTTCAAAGCAGCTCTATCATTTCACGTTACCACCAGCAATGTATGAAGGTTCCAATTCTGCCACATTCTTACCAACACTTGTTATTGTCTTTTTTTTTAAGTTATAGGTATTGTGAGGCATGTGAAGTGGTATCTCATTATGGTTTAGATTTTATTTTCCCTAATGACGTGTGATGCTGAATATCTTTCCATGTGCTTATTGGCAATTAATATATATTCTTTAGAGAAGATAGATTATATGCTTATTGGCTTTTGGAATCCTTTGCCCATTTTTAATTGCGTTGTCTTAATTAGTTGTAAGAAATTTTATATATTCTGATACAAATACCTTATTAGATACATGATTTGCAAATATTTTCTTCAAGTCTGTGGGTTGTCTTTACTTTTTTGATGGAATATTTTGAAGCAGTTTTTTTTCTTCAGCTTTTAAGTTCTGGGGTACACGTGTAGGATATGCAGGTGATACAGGAGTGCTGAGAATGGAAGAGCATGGTCCCTTTAAATGATACAGAAGCGGGGAAGGGAAGTGCTGCTTACAGAAGGGAGTGGTCCCTGGCTGGGGCTCCACCCCCATGGACCTGGGTGAGGACAGGCATTTTTGTTTTCCTGTCCAAATGTTGCATTTCCCAAGACCACCCTGGCCTGCCACACCCCCATCCTGTGCCTATAGAAACCCCCAAGACCCTAGCAGGCACACACAGGCAGCTGGACATCGAGAGGAGCACATCAGCAGATTAACCCACGGGTGACTAGACGTTGAGAGGAACACACCACTGACAGGCACCGGCACGCCAGCCCAGGCCGCCAAGCAGACCGACTCAGGGGGAAAACCATTTCCCTTCTGGCTCCCCCATCTGCTGAGAGCTACTTCCACTCAATAAAACCTTGCACTCATTCTCCAAGCCCACTTGTGAGCCTATTCTTCTGGTAAAGCAAGGCAGGAACCCAGGATACAGAAAGCCCTCTGTCCTTGCAACAAGGTAGAGGGTCTAACTGAGCTGAGTAACACAAGCCACCTATGGAGGGCTAAACTAAAAAAGCACCCTGTAATGCATGCCTACTGGGGCTTCAGCTGTCAACATTCACCCCTAGACACTGCTGTGGGGTCAGAGCCCCACAGCCTGCCTGTCTGTATGCTCCACTAGAGGTTTGAGCAACGGGGCACTGAAGAAGCGAACCACACCCCCATTGCACACCCTGTGAGGGGGACAAGGAAACCTTTCCTATTTCACAGGTTTGTTACAGAGATAAGCATGTGCCAAGGTGGTTTGCTGCACAGATCATCCCATCACCAAGGTATTAACACCAGCACCCATTAGCTATTCTTCCTGATGCTCTCCCGTCACTCCCACCCCCACAGGCCCCAGTGTGTGTTGTTCCCCAGCTTCAAGTGTCCATGTGTTCTTATAATTCACCTCCCACTTATGAGTGAGAACATGTGGTGTTTGGTTGTCTGTTCCTGCCTTTGTCTGCTGAGGATAATGGCTTCCAACTCCATCCGTGTATCTGCAAAGGACATGATCTCGTTCCTTTTTATGGCTTCATAGTAGTCCATGGTGTATATGTACCACATTTTCTTTATCCAGTCTGTCATTGATGGACATTTAGGTTGATTCTGTGTCTTTGCTACTGTGAATAGTGCTGCAGTGAACATATGCATGCATGTGTTTTTATAACAGAATGATGTATATTCCTTTGGGTATATACCCAGTAATGGAATTCTAGGTCAAATGGTACTTCTGCCACTAGGTCTTTGAGAAATTGCCACACTGTCTTCCACAATAGTTAAACTAATTTACATGCCCACCAACAGTGTAAAAGTGTTCTGAAGCACAAATTTTAAAATCTAATGAAGTTCCCGCCTTATCAATTGTCTTCTTTATTGATTGTGCTTTTGATATTATAGCTAAGAAATTATTGCCTAAACTAAGGTCATGGAGATTTATTCCTGCTTTCTTCCAGGAGTTTTATAGTTTTAGTTCTTACATTTAGGTCTTTGATCCACTTTGAGTTCATTTTTGTATATTGTTTAATGTAGGGCATCTACAATTTTTTTTGCATATGGATATCCAGTTTTCTAAGAACCTTTTAATAAAAAGGCTATTCTTTTGTTATTGAATTGTCCTCTACTCTTCCGTTGAAAATCAACTGGCCATAAATGTTAGGGTTTGGCCTCTCAACTTTATTCCATTGATTTATGCCCATCCTTGTGCCAATATCACACTGTCTTGATTACCGTAACTTTTTAGTAAGTTTTGAGACCACAAAGTGTGAGTCCTCTAACTTTGCTCATTTCCAAGATTGTTCTCACTATTCTGAATTCCTTATATTTCCATATGAACTTTAGGATCAACTTCCTGATTTCTTAGTTCACTAATATTTGGAAGGGGATGGTTTTGAATCTGTAGATCAATTTGGAAAGTATTGCCATCCTAATGATATTAATATTTCCAATTCATAAAAATTGGGTATCTATTTATGTAGATTTTCTTTAATTTCTTTCAATAATTTTTTTAGCTTTCCACTGTGTCTTACATGTCCAGTATTAAATTTATTCCCAAGTACTGTATTATTTATGCTATTGTAAATGAAATAATTTTCTTATTTTTATTTTCAGCTTAGTTTACTAGTTATAGAAATATAATGTTTCGATGTTGATCTTATATCCTGCCACTTTGTCAAAATTCTAATCAGTTCTAATAGTTTTGTTTAGTGGATTCCTCAGGATTTTTTTATATGCAAGATCTTATCATTGATAATAGACATAGTCTGACTTCTTTCTTTCCAATCATATGCCATTTTTTCTTTTGCTTGCCTACTTGTCCTGGCTAGAACCTCCTGTACAATACTGAACACAAGTGGCAAGAGCAGACGTTTTTGTCTTGTTCCTGATCTTAGGTACAAAAAATTGAATCTCTCACTATTAAGTAGGATGTTAGCTGTTGGCTTTTCACAGATACTCTTGATCTGATTGAGAACATCCCTTTCTATTTTTTGGTGCTTTTTATCATGAAAGGGTGTTAGATTTTGTCAAATGCTTTTCTGCATGTATTGATTTGTCATGTAATTTTTTTCATTGTTTTATTAATGTGGTCCATTAAGTTGATATTTGGATATAAACCCACCTTGCATTGTTAGGATAAACACCACTTGGTCAGGGTTTATAATTCTTTATATGTCTTGCTGGATTCAGTTTGCTATCCTTTGGGGGATTTTTTGAAAATTTTTGCATTCATATTTGTGAGGAACATTGATCTATAGTTTTCTTGTGATGCCTCTGTCTAGTTTTATATTATGCATTCAATTTTTAACATCTATTTAAACATATTTTAACATGTTTTTCTAAGTAAGAACTACTATATGAATATCTATATTCTGCTTTTCTGCAAACAAAACAAACATCAATATATTTTTACATTCTGCTCTCCCTCTCAATTCTTTAATTCATATGCCAACCTATAGTCTACACTGAAACAATAATCTCATTTTTTTTTTTGAGACAGTCTCATACTATCGCCCAGACTGGAGTGCAGTGGTGCAATCTCAGCTCAGTGCAAACTCCACCTCCTGGGTTCAAGCAATTCTCCTGGCTCAGCCTCCTGAGTAGCTGGGATGACAGGCATGTGGCACTACACCTGGCTAGTTTTTGTATTTTTAGTAGAGACGGGGTTTCACCATGTTGGCCAGGCTGGTCTCGAACTCCTGACCTCAAGTGATCCGCCCGCCTCAGCCTCCCAAAGTGCTGGGATTACAGGCGTTAGCCACCGTGCTTGGCCTGAAACAATAATTTCTTATTTCTTGTACTTATCATTGCTTCATGAATCTCACCTTCTACTTCCTGAATTTTTCTCCTTCCTGTAGAATATCCTCTAGTTATTTTTTTCTTTCAGAGAATGTGGGTTATACATTTTCTGAGGTCATGTATCTCTAGAAATATCATCTTTTTGTCTTTAATCACCAGTGAAATTTTGGCTGGTCATAGAACTCTTGGCTTGAAGTAATTTACATCTAGAACTTTTCATTTCTCATATAGCTGAAGCAATGGCTGATGATAATCTGACTCTTCTTCCTTTGTAGGTGAATTTTTTGTCTGGATGATTTTCTGACTTTCTTGCCCCATTGAGATCCTGAAATTTCTATGTGCAGATTTTTTTTTTTTTTAATTCTTGGTGAGTATTTTCAATCTATGAAATGTCTTTCCTTAGTTCTGGGAACTTTTATTATTTATTTAAGGATTCATTTCTTCTGGAACACCTAGTAGACGGATGTTAAAATGTGGAATTTGTTTTCTATAATTCTTAACCTTTCTTTAGCTATCCCAATCTTTTCATTTCTGCCACATTCTATGAGAATTCCTGGCCTCAATCTTCTAGCCCACCAGTTCCCTTGTCACTTGTGTCCATTCTACCACACAAGTGGTCTGTTGGATGTTTTTCTTTACATTCATCAACTGAATTTGTAATGAATGAGCTCTAGTTGATGTTTTATTGCTACAAATCCTTTTAGCTTTAACTGTGTGATTTTAACTTCATTTATCCTAGAGACACGTACTGCTTCCTCGCACCCTTCTGATTCACCAGGTAGAGGTTGTGAATTTGAGTCTGCTATTTCTTTTTCATAGTGTTGGCTTTCTTCAAATTAGTTGGTGAGGGTGGGTTGTGTATCCACCTTTGCAGCTGAGTTTCTCTGTTTGGCTCTGCTCTATTTGTTCCCGCAGCCTGTTTGAGAGGAGCGGTGTGCACGCTTCCTAGATTGTACTCACCCTTTTCACTGAGGTCTGAGAAGTGGTAGGACCTGCATTTGAATAGCTTCGTGTGGTGATTTGTGTGCCAACTGTGGATGCTCTCCTTTCTCCTGGGTGTTACCAGCCACCTGTGGTCTTGCCTTATCTCCCTAATCCAAATTCCTGAAAAATCACTGCGCCTGGAGACAAGCAGCCCTGTAGTAGCCAGCTGCCCTAGGGGGAAGAATGGGGTCAGAATGGTGCAACCCCATTGCATCAGCTCAGTCACCTCTGGATCTCCTCCTCTTCTCTGTATGTGCTCTTTCTGGGCAAGTCAACTTTTTCAATAGAACTTCCTCGGTGCCTTTTGGGTTATAGTTTCCCTTTCACACCAATCTCACCTGCTTTCTGCTTTTAAAGAATTCTTTGTTGCTTTTGAACCCATCTGGGGCCTCACTTCTTGGTTTAGGAACTCAATTTGGAATTTTTTTTCTTTTATATTTTTTCTATAATGTTTAGAGATTTGGTATGGTAGAGGAGGCTGTAGCAAAGTTGAGACTGTCATCTTGTAACAAAAGTTAGTGGCCCTTTATTGGAACACACAGTTCTGTGGCCACCATCATGCTCCTTGTTCAGCTGAATCCTCTGATTGAGAGAAAGGGACAGAGCAAGGGAGACGAACTCAGAGAGCTGTTTGAGACTCATTTGAGGAAGGGGCATCTCTTAAGTAGCCCAGGGCTGCCTATTCTATTTACATGCCCTGTAATGACAGGTGCCACCTGCAGCAAAGGAACAAAGAGGGTATTTTTCAGAAGTATGGGACAGAATCAGAAGCTCAGCTATAGACAAACCCCAGCTGGCTCCTTTTACCCCATCAATAAAAGGCCCTGTGCTTGCACTGTGGCTCCATTATCCCCTGCAGCATCAAAGCCAGGACAGGCTTCTCCTATCTCGGATGCTGACTGCAGCTCTTCAGCTGAGCTCTGCTTCCTGGTGCACACGCAGCTGCACACACTCCACATGCTCTTTGAGTGTCTTCTTATTCTTTCTTCAGACTCACCAAGGGCAGCAAGACGTTTCTTCCAAATGAGTTGTTTCAAAGCTGCTAAAGTGTTTGAATTTTTAGCTTTGCACATTATTATTCTTTTTCTTTAACATCTATCTTTACTGTTAGATATACCAAAACAATTATTAATAAACATTCATTGAGAAGATGCTATGTGCAAGTCCCCTGGATAAAGAAAAGGTCAGGAAGTCCATGGTATTCCCAGAGAGTCATCCGAGTATCCCTGAAGGAGGAAAGCCCACAAATGAAGTGGACATCTACAGTTTTGTTCGTCCAAAACCATTTCCCATCTTCTGGTAACAGCAATTCATCTTCCTTTGAGGAACTACTCCTTGACTCTGACTGTGTGGTTTTGGAGAGATCAGCAATCCTAGAGCCTTACCTTAGTCACGTTACCCAGGCCTGCTCAAGCATGTACTCCACAGTGGTGAGCAGGAGTTAGTCCTGGAGGCATTCATGTGTCAAGCAGGCCAACCCGAGCCCTTCCCCGGGATTAACATACCCAAAGCAGTGTTAGGTACTGAATGTCTGTGTCCCCACTACCTCAAATTCTGATGATGAAATCTAACCCTCAATGTAACGGTAATTGCATGAGGGGTCCTCAAGAGACAGTCAGGTCATGAGCGTGCAGCCCTCCAGATGGTAATAGTGCCCTTATAAGAGAGACCAGAGAGCTTGCCTGCTGTTTCTACCACATGAAGATACAAGGAGAAGTTAGCAATCTGCAACTGGGAAGAGGGCCCTCACCAGAACCAGACCATGCTGGCACCCTGATCTCAGTCTTCCCAGACTCCAGAACTGTGAGAAATAAATGTCTGTCATTTAAGGCACCCCGTCCGTGGTACTTTGATACAGCAGCCAGAACTAAGGCAAACAGTGAGAAAACAATTCCTTCCTCCGAGTCCCTCCAGCTGCGATGATGTAAGCCTGAAGTTGCGTCTACATGTGCCACCTTCTTCTTCTACCCACTTCACAAGGAAGATGCTCCTCCATCAGAGAGAAAATGAGACCAACATCAGGGAAGAGAAGACAAGGGAGATGGAGCAAGAAAGAGAAAGATCTGAGGACACCACATGAGGTCCTGCAGCCACTGATGTCTCTTACCTTGTGACACCTGCTCTCCATTCAATTATGCCTTGTATTCTAAATATTCCACACCTGTGTCTTCTATGCATCTTTGCACATGGTTTATAACACAGAGAAAGTTTTTAATTCCTTCCCTTGTTTTCCTCCTGGGAAATGCCTAATCATCACCAGAGGGCTAGCCCAGATATCCTGAGTTCCTCCACATACAGTTAGAATCTCTGCCCCTGCCCCAACCCAGAGCACTTTGGGCACACTTCTAGGATGGCCTTGTGTATTAGTCCATCCTCACACTGCTAATAAAGACATACTCGAGACTGGATAATTTATAAAGAAAAAGAGGGTTAATGGACTCACAGTTCCACGTGGCTGGGGAGGCCTCATAATCATGGCAGAAGGTGAAAGAGGAGCGAAGTCACATCCTACATGGTGGCAGGCAAGAGAGTGTGTGCAGGGGAACTGCCCTTTATAAAACCATCAGATCTCGTGAGACTTATTCACTACCATGAAAACAGTATGGGGAAAATGGCCTCCATGATTCAATTATCTCCACCTGTCCCCACCCTTGACACATGGGGATTATTACAATTCAAGGTGAGATTTGAGTGGGGACGCAGCCGAACCATGTCACTTTGTGATAACTGTTACTACTTCTTTTTTTTTTTACATCATACTGTGCATTCCTTGAGGGCAGGGGCTGCACCCAATTCATCCCTATATCCAAATCTGGAATCCCTATCTGGTGCCTCAGATAGGTCTAAGCACAAGATAGAGTGTCTCCGTCCCTATGTGCTACTAGAGCTTTCTCATGAGAGGAATCTGGGGGAAATGTGTGGGACTAGGAAGGAAGATGATTCTTCTAGGAAGAGGGCTTGCTCCTGCCATCAACCACCCCAGTGCTGTCTCTTGAATCTTTCCTTTGCCAGAGGTTCTCTGATTCACATGGTGAGTAAAGACTGGATTCCCTCTTGAGGGACAGCAGGAAGGGGTTTAGGGAGCTCTTGTATGTCATCTGAGGTGCTTGGATTCTATACAGAGTAACTGGGAGCCACTAAAGGATTCTAATCAGGGACATCTAAATTATGCTCAGGTGTTTTAGAAAGACCATTAGACTTCAGTGTGGAGACGGGACTGGTGACAAATTGAGGCTGAAGACTATGAAGATAGTAGGAGAGCTAAAGGGGATGCTTTGGTCCAGGAGAGAGGGAATAAGGACTGGGACAGTGCCATGGGCTTAGAGAGAAGGAGACAGTGGCCCTTCTTATCATCCTGCCTCCCTTGTTCCCTTCAGCTGAGCTGCCGAGACCTCCACCCTGGTGGCCTTCTGCCCTGGCTTCTCTCATTCTTCTCTGTCTTGTCTATAAACCCCATAATGGCTCTAAATCAGGAGAGAATGATGCTTTCTCCTTGCCCCATAGAATCCTTGGGAGTTACATCTTTGTCAGCACTTCTGCTTCCAGCTCCCATCGGATTGGTTAATGTTTCTTTTATGAAGCGAGGACACCTGATTTCTGTCAGTGTAGGGCTTAAGACTGCCTTGTCAGCACTGTCTCCCTGGCTAGGCATATCAAATAGACAGAGGAAGAAGGCAACCAAACCAGTGATCAGATTCCAAGACAATGATGCCAGGCTGCACACTGTTTGGGAGAGTGGAGTTAAATGAAACA
This sequence comes from Homo sapiens, assembly GCF_000001405.40. NCBI lineage: Eukaryota > Metazoa > Chordata > Mammalia > Primates > Hominidae > Homo > Homo sapiens. Next base: position 106,484,556 of record NC_000009.12, on the reverse strand, counting down.
AAAGGGTCCCATAATGCTAGGATGACAGAGTTACACACTCAGAAGGGGCTGTCTATTCTGGCAGTGTGGGAAAAGCTAAGGATCATCTGCCGGTCATTTGACCATCTAGTTAAGCCCTTTCCCTTGTCTGGTCTCAATTTCTCATCTGTAAGGTGGCAGTGATCTTTGAAGGCCTATTCCAGGCTCCACTAGTCCAGACTAAGGGATGTAAGGGGTCTCTTCCTTGTTACCACCTGTAGTGGTCCCAAGAGTTAAAGCAGTCCTCACTCTACTTGGTACATTTATATACTCATTCATTTATTAAATAATCATTCATGCCTTTATTCATTTATCCATCAAATATCCACTCAGTCCCTACTCTTTGTCAAGCCCTATGCTCAATGTTATGAACACAGATATAAATGAGAGGTGTTCTGGCTGTTAAGAGTCTACAATCCAGAGAGAGAGCCAGAAATGTAAATGGATAATCACCACAAAGTGACAAAGTCAGGAGAAAGTGCAGAGGGTACAGAGGGCAGAGCCACTGCTAAAGGATTTCATTTTATTCCTCCTCAAAGCATCTGGCATTTTTCCTGGAACAGAGGTTAGGTTCTCAATGAATGAAGTAAAATTTTAGCTGGGCCTATGAATGAGTAAAAGTTTCCCAGGTAAGCAAGGTGAGGGAAACTATATGCATCCAGACTTGTAAGCATAAAAGGACTTGCCTATCTGGGAAAAAAGTGAGCAATTCTAAATTCCTGGGGTTCAGGACACTGCAAAGTCCTATAGGAGGTAAGGCTGGAGAATCAGATGCAGGGAGGGTTGTTTTAGGTCTGAGAAATTGGGCTTTATCCAGGGAAATGAGGGACCATTGAAGGTGCATCACAGCAACTTTTGAGAGGTTCTCCTAGGTTCAACGTGAGTGGATTGGGGCAGGTCATGCCTTAGACAGGGAGGCCTGTTAGGGATGTTTTTCAAGGTAATGCTACTCTTAGCTCAAGGCCAGCTGGGATGAACAGGGCATCTCCAAATCTGGATTCTTTTCCATCTCAACAGAAAAGATTGGGTCATTGACCCCCGAAGATCCTGATGAAGGAGTGGTGGACTATTTGAGGAGCATGCTTACCTAAGCAGTGCCCCTACAGATGGCATATATCAGGAAGACAACTGACATCTGGTCAGAGACCCAAGGAAATGAGAAAGCACTAACCATTTGAAATTCCTGGCTCATCTTTCCCCAACATCTCCTAACCTAGGTCTGTTTGATTAACAGAAATCACCCTTATTGCTATATTAAATGTAAAAGTCCAGAAAGCATTTTGGCTAAAAGCAAATCAGAGCAATCAGATACTGCCAGCCTCATGGAGAAGCACAGATTTGTTTAATCTCCTCATTGTTTGGGGTGGGGACCTGAATACCATAGCCCAGGAAAGAATTGGCCAAGGTCCCTCAGCAAGTCTGTACCTGCAGGTAGATCAGAACCAGGGTCACCTGACTGCCAGGACACTGGTTTCCCAGTGTGACCCAAGGCTTCTGGCTGTATCTACCAAAGGAAGAGTTAAAGCAATTGTGCCTTAGTAAGCACAGGTGGTCAGGCTGGAGAAGATGAAGCCAGAATTTCCCCTGAGGCTCAGCCAACCAAAGCTTTTCCATTGTGCTGACTCATTTCCTATAAGTAAGGTCACTTCCCTGTTTAAAAATCTTGCATGTCCACAGGGGAAGCTCAAACTGCTTAGAGTGGCATCCAAGGCCTTTCATTTCTGAGTCCTTTCTTAGGCTCCATACTCATCTCTCACTCTAGCCTAGATGTAACCTGGGCAGTATACCAGTGGTTCTCAACCTGCCCTTGGAAATTTTGTTTAAAAAATATGTATTGATACTCAGACAGTCCCTCTGGAGATTTTGAGGGGTGGATCTCTGCCACCTGTGTGTTTTAAATCTCCTCCTGTGATTCTAATGTGCAGCTAGAGAGGAGAACCATTATTCACCCACAGCTATTTCCTATTATACATATTATTATCCATATGTGCCTTGCGCTCTCGAGACTTTGCACATGGCTTCCTTATTCTGCCTTGTCCCACTTTTCCACATACTCCCCCCTGCTAACTTGGATCTCTCTTTTTGCTTTGGGCCTTTGTACATACCACCATCATAGCATTTGGAAACCTTTGCTTATGTATCCTTCAGTCACCCTAAGGAGACTGTGAACTCTGCAAGAAAGATGCTGTTCTACTTATCATTTCTTCATTGTCAACATCACAGGACCTGGCAAATAGTAAGTGCTTAGGAAATAACAGTGATCTGAATAAGAGTTTCTGAACTCCAGAGTGGCCTCTGTTCAGAAAGCTTCCCACCTTCCTAGAGTAGTGAATCATGGGGCAGAGCTTTTGAGAGATCCCCAGGGTACTGTGTTCTAACAATTGGTCTATCTTCTGTTTCCAAGGAAGGGAAATCATCAGGGAATTTCTACTCACCTGCAACTGAAAATGGGAGGCTAATCTCTCTTTTGTGTAGCTGGGCAACCCCATAATTAAAAAAGGGAGGTGAGAATATTTACAGCCAGAGAGACCTTGGTGGAAACCTGTGGCCCTAGCTGTATGACTTGCATGACAAGTTAGTGGAAGTGTGTAAGCCTTCATGAAATAATGTATAAAGATGTACATTGCCTACCACATACTGAATTCTTTATAGGTGTAAATTTCCTTTCTTCCCAAAGAACTGGTTTCAGAATCCCCCAATGTTTCTTTCAACTGTCTTCTCCTAAATGCACTCATTCTCTGCTGTCTTTCTCACACTCTCACCTTCCTATTCTCCCTACTTCTCTTTCCCCTGACCCTTTCTTTTTTTACGTCTCCTTCACACTTTCTTACTCTGTATACCAACTGGTTCTTTTGGGATTCATCTTTGGAGAAGGAATGAATTCCTCTGGCACCCTTTCTTTCCATGTGTCATTTTGGAGACAAGATGAGCACACCCAGTAGGATTCACAGAAGTTGGGAGGAAAGTCTAATACCAACTTTTGCTACAATACAGTGCCAGAGCAACGAGGGCCTGGTTTCTCTGTGCTGGGACAGGAGACAGGGAAGGAGAGAAGTGAACCTCTGACATAAATTCTGCACAGTGTGTTTTTATTACCGAATAATCCATGCTCATGCCACTGGTCCGCATACCACCAGTTAATCGAAACCTCATGTTCTACTGATCTGGGATGCCTCATGGTTAACCCTTGCAGGGCCAGCTATGCACCCAGGCCAAAGGAAATCCTTTCCAGAAAGAAGCTGGGTTATCAGACATGCAGGCGCTGCCTCACATGTTGAAGAAAACCACTGTGGGGTGTGGTTAATGATAAAGGCTAGAATGTGGCAGGCAGGCACTCATCTGGACCTGTCTGCAGAACTACTCATGAAATGCCACATGGCATTTGGGTACACTCATCACCCAGAGCCTGAGCTACCCCTGGATTCATAGAGCTGGCTGCTCCTGGCTTGCTGTTCACTCTCCTAGAGCTTTGTTTCATCCAGGAGAAAGATCTGAGGAGTCTTCCCACAGAGCCAGCCTGGCACAGAATGAATACACGATGGAAGGAGGTCACTGCATTGCAATACAGTGTGTGCTGTGGATTCACACAAGGGATGTGGGAACTCCAAGGAGAAAACCACTAACTGTGCCTAGAGGTGCCGGGAATGGCATCCAGAAAAGGGGACATTTGATCTTGAAGGTCTTGATGAACAAAGATATGTTTTTTAAACCAGGCAAATAAAGAGAAAGGCCAATTAATCCTACGCGGAAAAAGCAATGTGAGCAAGGTCTTTCTCATCCAGACAAGGAGGTAACAGAGTGATGACATGGTTAAGGCCTGGCCATGGGGTTGCACTGCCTTCTAATCTCAGCCTTCCTAATACTGTTGTGACTCAGTTTTATATCCTCTTTGCTCTTGTTTCCTCATCTGCAAACTGAGGGCCATAATAGTATCTACCTCAGAGATTGCTCTGAAGATTAAATGATGAAATGCATAAAGCTTTCAGCCCTGTTCCTGGCATTTTAAAGGCCTGGATAAATGTTGACTATTACCATCAGGGAATAAATGACAGCTTGGAAGGGTTAGAACACATGTTTGGGAACAATGGAAAGACCCAAGGTTAGTCAGGGGCCAGATGGTGAAGGAACTAGAATCTGTACTGAGGATTTGGACTTAATCCTCTGGGTCATGGGAAATCACTGAAGGTTAATTCATTCAAATATGATCCTCTGGATGGTTCCCCTTCTTGGAAGATCCTTCCCAGAAAGCCTTTTAAGCTTCCCATCAGGAATCCAAACTGTCCTGGTGATGTCCATCTCCCTCTGAAAAGAAACACCATCCCCATGTGGCTCAGCCCATACTCACTACACTGCTTACTACCATCAGACCTCCTCATTGTGACACTTTAGCCCTGGGGTATAAGATTCAAGAGCCTGCACTTAGATATTTCTTCGCATCACTGCCAGTGAATGTCCATGATCACAAAACAAGAAGGAACCCGGTCTGGATCTCCCCAAAGTTCTATGCCCCAAAGCAAAGTTTGCAAAACAATGTCTCCTTGTCCTAGTTAGGATGAGTTGCTTGGCATCTGAAAACCTCTGGAAATTTGCCACAAAGTGGTGATGCATCCTGCAAGTAATGCTGATGGGATTTGAGCAGCAGTTCGCCAATAGAGGCTGCCGGTCTGTTTGTGGGGTTATCAGGGTAATGGATCCTGGCATTCTGCTCTCACCGTCTTTACAAACGTCACTTTCACTTTATTGTACATTAACCCCAATCTCTTCACAAGCTCCAAAATAAAACTTCTTTGCAAACAACCAAGGTCCATCTGCTGTGCTGTTAAAAATACCCCAGCATGAAAATATAGAGCATTAGATGCACCCATGATTAGAAAGCATGCAGTGGACTCACCTGAAAATACCTGGCTTTGAATAGGAGAAATCATTCTTTATTTCTCTCTTAGGTGAGAGATTGATACCTCCCATTCCCATGGTAAAAAGAGAACCCCAGATTCCAAGACTGATTGGATTCCAAATATTATATCCTACTGTCCTGAGGAGCCCATATATACCTACTACTATGTACTCTCAACAGAACTCATCATATCAGCTGCTGCCAGGTTAATCCTCTAGCTGGGAATGAATGAATGAGCCAATGAATGATTAGCAGGTAGAGGTCCCATGTCCCCACAAAGTGCACATGAATTGTATTCACTTCTTTTTCCATTCCTTAATCAATTATTCATTGCAGAGACAGAAGACTTCTCTATATTATTGGCAACAATCTGCAGGTTGGATCTCATTTCCTCTAAAAGAGCAACCCCCAACAGTGGGTATTTAAATTAATCCAACTCTGCAGCCATACTGCACAGCCCATCTATCACAGCAATTTTTACAAATGCCACTCTAGTATCCAGGCCTATGTATCATGTATTTTGAGATTGCACAGTTCCTGAGGCCTTTGTAAAGCAAACCTTTCATGAATAAATCAGGAAATACCCTGATGCATGCTTTATGTAGAGGAAGATATTCTATTTAGGTCATGCAGGGAAGTTCTGCCAAGTTTGCTAAAATGAACAAATCCCCTGAGTGCAGTCTACCTCTACACATTCTGAAACACAAGCAAATATCTCCCAGGCCCCCGCGGCTGTGCTGTATAGACACTGAGGGCTCTAAGTCTAGAAATTCTTAGTTTGATCACCTGAGGCTCCAAAGACTTTCAAGTCAGGAGCCAGGCAGTGAGTTTTGCTAGTCCATGGGAAGAACTTTGCAAATGGAAAATTTGTCCACTGTGGAGCCTGGGGCAATGGGACTTCTGCAAAGCAAAGGAGGAAAACAACAACAACAAAAAAAAAAACCAGGAAAAATTAAAATGAGCCTGTTGTCCTAGCCTGTTTTTTGAATCCACTTAAGAAAGCCCCTGAATTTGTTTGAGTCTAAAGTATTTCTACTGACTCTTGAGCCTCTCCCAGAACACAGGATGTGGCCTAGTGCACCCTCCCCTTTAGCAATGGAAATTCTCCTGATAAGAATAAGGATTTCCAGATTTCCAGCCAACCTCAAATTAGAGAGGGTTATCTGGGGTAGAAGAATGCAGAACAAAATGCCGAATGATTCCCTTCCTTTTAACAAGGGCAGGCAGGCCCAGCCCCTTTTGCCCAGAAAAAGCTGTGTGAGATTGGAAGATCTAGTTTGAAGAAACAGAGCCATTGACTTGAATGACTTGGAGGAACAACTTTGTGCTCTCAGCATGAAGCACAGAGCATGGAGAAGTGGAGATGTCATCAAGAAGGTGGACAAAATGCTTGGACAGGGTCTAAGATAATAGAACCTTGTTTGGATCAAGAACTAATCTTTGCTTTGTTGGTTTCCAAATTTGTCTCTGGCAGTGCAGTCAAAGCCAGTCAGGCACTTAGGGACAAATTCTTTCTAACAAAAGTCAAAAGAAACCAAACAAAAATTAAGCACTTAAAGTTGTTGCTAGGAACATATCAGCCCATACCCTGATTCGCTGGGAAGTTAAAAATAACCCGAAGGTTACCTGTGAGTATAGAATCTGAACAAAGGGACTTTGTTCTTATTGATGTCCCTAACTTCGCAGCTTTGCCCCTTTGATTGTGTTGAATACATAAAGACCACATCCACTTTGCTTCCTTCTGTTTGTTTCTAGTACTCTCTTCCAAACATCTGACTTTGGTTGAAGCTTTCTTTCTTGGGTTCATCAATATCCAGCTTTAGAAACTGAACTACTTTGAGGTTACTCTTTAAAGGTCTCATTCGGTGGCCCCCAAACTTTTAGCCTCCATTACCATTTGTTGCCAAGGTGAAGATTTTACTTATAGTTGGCCACAGTAATTTACTACTTGATTTTCCAGTATTACCTTCTCAAAGTGTCACTAATTTTCAAGTTCTTAGGAATACTGATTTATGCTGCTATACCACTCACGTGATTCAGAAGTTGAGTTTAACTTCATTGCTAATAGATTAAGTGACCTTGGCTAAGTTTCTTCATTGATAAAATGTTGACCAAAATATATACTCTCCCTAATCTAGAGAGAAAGACCCATGGAGAGAATTTATGTTCAAGCATGGTAGGAACTATAAGTTGCTACACAAATGGGAAGTGATTTGAAGATTTTTCATACAACATGTCTGGTTTTTCCTTTTACTTCTTAGCACTTTCTGCAGTGTCTGGCGTATTGTAGGCAATCAATAAAAGCTAGTCACTTGATGGTTGCTAGTAAAAGGGAGCCTGAATCTGGGAACCAATTCTCTAGGAGAAGAAAACAGGAGAGGGCTTGAAAGAAGATGTACCTTTTTTTTTTCCTCATTATAAAAGTAATTTAAGCTCAAATGATAAAATTTAGAAAAGTCATGAGAAGAAATTGAAAATACTTCATATGTGCAAACTGTTAGTATTTTGCTGTGGTGCACAGAACACTGGGCCTGTAATCTCCCCTCTCTCTCTCTCTCTCTCCCTCTCTCCCTCTGACTTGCACACACATGTGTCCTCAAAGCACAATGTTGTTCCTTTATGTGCTGACTACAGCTCAGACTAGAAATATATTTTCTCATCAGCCAAGGGATGAGAGATTACCCCTCTGGCAACTCTATTAGTTCACTAATTAATACAAATCTGAGAAATGTCCATTAGGGCCTGTTAAGCCTCATTCTCTTTTGGTTTTACTCTTTAAGGTAATAAAAGTAATAATATCTAATATTTATTCAATAATTACTCTTTGCCAGGGATTTGTCTAAGCAGTTTACACATAGTAACTTATTTTATCCCCATGCCTACACTAAATGGCAGGTAGTACAGGTGTATAATCCATTATCTACAATTCCACAGTCCAAAAAGCTCTGTGGCTCACGCCTGTAATCCCAGCACTTTGGGAGGCCAAGGCGAGTGGATCATGAGGTCAGGAAATCGAGACCATCTGGGCCCACATGGTGAAACCCCATCTCTATGAAAAATACAAAAATTAGCTGGGTGTGGTGGTGCACATCTGTAATCCCAGCTACTCGGGAGGCTGAGGCAGGAGACTCGCTTGAACCCGGGAGGCAGAGATTGCAGTGAGCCGAGATCGCACCACTGCACTCCAGCCTGGCAACAGAGTGAGACTCCATCTCAAAAAAAAAAAAAAAAAAAAAAAAGAAAAAGACAAGTTTGGTACAAACTTTTTTGACAGCAAAACCTTATCAAACCTGATGTGATGCTATTCGTGGTCTTTATTCATCCCACTTACGAATAGTCAAGTTTCATTGAAAAATAAAACATTAATGTGTTTAATTACATGGTGTTGTCCCAGAACCTTCTGAAGGTTTTAGGTATTAGATGGTTTGTACACTTTATTACCTTTATAATATTTGAAAAATTTTACATCCAAAACATAATCCAATCCAGAGATTTCAAGTCTGTGATGCTGAACATATCTTAATACTCTCACTTTACAGATGAAGTGGATCACAGAGATAGTAAGCAACTTATCCAAGTTAGGTCAGGATTCTAACTCAGATGGACAACTGGCTTTAGAGTCTGCACTAAAAACCTTCACATTTGTGTAGCACTCAAAAACTTATGCAACTCTTTCCAGCACACTAATTTACACTAATTTAAAGGTTCTACTTAGATTTTACTCATTCTCTACACTGAAGACAAGTGAGATTTGGAGAAATTATTTGACTCGCCCAAGGTCCCATGTCTAATGCAACAGAATTAGGACTTAAGCTCCCAGTCTGCTGGTTCTTAGTCCATCTTATCCCAGTGCCCTTATGGCTGCCCTGGCACTACCTGAATAGTCACCAAACTCACATCATAGCATAGTGGTTTTTTTCACTTATATAAGCACGGCTACCCAGGCAGGCTGCATAAAAACAGTTCTACCTCACGGAAATTGTAACAAACTGTCTCTCAGACCACAGTGCAATCAAATTAGAACTCAGGATTAAGAAACTCACTCAAAACTGCACAACTACATGGAAACTGAACAACCTGCTACTGAATGACTGCTAGGTAAATAATGAAATTAAGGTAGAAGTAAATAAGTTCTGTGAAACCAATGAGAAAAAAGACACAATGTGTCAGAATCTCTGGGACACAGCTAAAGCAGTGTTTAGAGGGAAATTTATAGCACTAAATGCCCACAGGACAAAGCAGGAAAGATCTAAAATTGATGCCCTAATGTTACAATTAAAAGAACTAGAGAAGCAAGAACAAATAAATTCAAAAGCTAGCAGAAGACAAGAAATAACTAAGACCAGAGTAGAACTGAAGGAGATAGAGACACACGCACACACAAAAAAATTCAAAAAATCAATGAATCCAGGAGCTGGTTGTTTGAAAAGATTAACAAAATAGATTGACCGCTAGCCAGACTAATAAAGAAGAAAAGAGAGAAAAATCAAATAGACACAATAAAAAATGATAAAGGGGATATCACCACTAATCCCACAGAAATACAAACTACCATCAGAAGATACTATAAACACCTCTGTGCAAATAAACTAGAAAACCTAGAAGAAATGGATAAATTCCTGGACAAATACCCCCTCCCAAGACTAAACCAGGAAGAAGTCGAATCCCTGAATAGGCCAACAACAAGTTCTGAAATTGAGGCAGTAATTAATAGCCTACCAACCAAAAAAAGCCCAGGACCAGACAGATTCACAGCCAAATTTTACCAGAGGTATGAAGAGGAGTTGGTACCATTCCTTCTGAAATTATTCCAAACAACAGAAAAAGAAGAACTACCCCCTAATTCATTTTATGAGGGCAGCATCATCCTGATACCAAAACCTGGCAGAGACACAACAAAGAGAAAATTTCAGGCCAATATCTGTGATGAACACTGATGCGAAAATCCTCAATAAAATACTGGCAAACTGAATCCAGCAGCACATCAAAAAGCTTATCCACCGCAATCAAGTTGGCTTCATCCCTGGGAGGCAAGGTTGGTTCAACATACACAAATCAATAAACATAATCCATCACATAAACAGACCAATGACAAAAACCACGTGATTATCTCAATAGATGCAGAAAATGCCTTTGGTAAAATTCAACAGCCCTTCATGATAAAAACTCTCAATAAACTAGGTATTGATGGAACACATTTCAAACTAATGAGAGCTATTTATGACAAAACTATAGCCAATATCATACTGAATTGGCAAAAGCTGGAAACATTCCCTTTGAAAACTGGCACAAGACAAGGATGCCCTCTCTCACCACTCCTATTCAACATAGTATTGAAAGTTCTGATGAGGGCAATCAGGCAAGAGAAAGAAGTAAAGCGTATTCAAATAGGAAGAGAGGAAGTCAAATTGTCTGTGTATGCAGATGACATGATTGTATATTTAGAAAACCCTATCGTCTTAGCCCCAAAACTCCTTAAGCTGATAAGCAACATCAGCAAAGTCTCAATATATAAAATCAATGTGCAAAAATCACAAGCATTCCTATACACCAATAATAGACAAAAAGAGATCCAAATCATGAGTGAACTCCCATTCACAATTGCTACCAAAACAATAAAATACCTAGGAATACAACTTACAAGGGATGTGAAGGACCTCTTCGACTGCTCAAGGAAATAGGAGAGGACACAAACAAATGGAAAAACATTCCATTCTCATCAATAGGAAGAATCAATATCATGAAAATGGCCATACTGCCCAAAGTAATTGCTGTCCCCATCAAGCTACCATTGACATTCTTTACATAAATAGAAAAAAACTACTTTAAATTTCATATGGAACCAAAAAAGAGCCCGAATATCCAACACTATACTAAGCAAAAAGAACGAAGCTGGAGGCATCGCCCTACCTGACTTCAAACTATACTACAAGGCTACAGTAACCAAAACAGCATGGTACTGGTACCAAAACAGATATATAGACCAATGGAACAGAACAGAGCCCTCAAAAATAATGCCACACATGTACAACCATCTGATCTTTGACAAACCTGACAAAAGCAATGAGGAAAGGATTCCCTATCTAATAAATGGTGTTGGGAAAACTGGCTAGCCATTTGCAGAAAACTGAAACTGGACCCCTTTGTTACACCTTATAAAAAATTAACTCAAGGTGGATTAAAGACTTAAAAATAAGACCTAAAATCATAAAAACCCTAGAAGAAAACCTTGGCAATACCATTCAGGACATAGGCATGGGGAAAGACTTCATGATTAAAACACTAAAAGTAATGGTGACAAAAGCCAAAATTGACAAATGGGATCTAATTACACTAAAGAGCTTCTGCACAGCAAAAGAAACTATCATCAGAGTGAATAGGCAACCTACAGAATGGGAGAAAATTTTTCAATCTATCCACCTGACAAAGGGCTAATGTCCAGAATCTACAAAGAACTTAAACAAATTTACAAGAAAAAAACAACAACCCCATCAAAAAGTGGGCAAAGGATATGAACAGACACTTCTCAAAAGAAGACATTTATGTGTCCAACAAACATATGAAAAAAAGCTCATTGTCACTGGTCATTAGAGAAACGCAAATCAAAACAAAATGAGATACCATCTCACGCCAGTTCGAATGACGATCATTAAAAAGTCAGGAAACAACAGATGCTGGAGAGGATGTGGAGAAATAGGAATGCTTTTACACTGTTGGTGGGAGTGTAAATTATTTCAACCATTGTGGAAGACCATGTGGTGATTCCTCAAGGACCTAGAACCAGAAATACCATTTGACCCAGCAATCCCATTACTGGGTATATACCCAAAGGATTATAAATCATTCTACTATAAAGACACATGCACGCATATGATTATTGCAGCACCGTTAACAATAGCAAAGAGTTGGAACCAACCCAAATGCCCATCAATGATAGACTGAATAAAGAAAATGTGGCACACATATCACATGGAATACTGTGAGCCATAAAAAAGGATGAGTTCATGTCCTTTGCAGGGACATGGATGAAGCTGGAAACCATCATTCTCAGCAAACTAACACAGGAACAGAAAACCAAACACCACATGTTCTCACTCATAAGTGGGAGGTGAACAATGAGAACACACGGACACAGGAAGGGGAACATCACACACTGGGGCCTGTCAGTTGGTGGAGAGCTAGATGAGGGATAGCATTAGGAGAAATACCTAATGTAGATGATGGGTTAATGGGTGAAGCAAACCACTATGGCATGTGTATACCTATGTAACAAACCTGCAGGTTCTCCAAATGTATCCCAGAATGTAAAGTATAATAATAATAATAATAATAATAATAATAATAATAATAATAATAATAACAGTTCTACCTCATTCCAAGCCACCAAAGATCAGAAACAGGCTTGCTTGGAGTAAAAAAGCTTGGATCTGTCAAAAGTAACTGATTGACCCCACACATCAGTATTCTCCAGCCAAAGCATCAGGATTAAGCAGCACTGCTTATACCTGTCACTTCAGAAATCAAGGCATGGATTTTGAAGCTAATAGATCCTCCTTGCTAGAACAAAATAATCATGACACTGGAACATGAGGCCACGGATTTGAGACCTGGGTCTAGGGTTTTCCACTTTGGACAAGTCAGGACCTCTCTGAGACTCTCTGGGGACATGCACTGTCCAACACATGGCACATAAATATGGTATGGATCCAAAAGAAATTGCATGTAATGGAACCCAGAAACACACTGGTATCACTGAGGAATGTGACAACATGAAAATTAGCTGGGGCTCAGGATTTATGTAGCCTTAGGATAGTCTAATCTTGTGAATGCAGCTGGACAGTTCAATTGATAAAAGAGTATATTCCAAGTGCTAAGTCTAGAATGTGGAAGGAAGAGACTTCTGCTCCTCTATGCTGGAATCAGACACACCTATAGTGCTATTACAAGTTTTGAGTCTCCTGTTCTAAGATAAATACAATAATCTTGATGAAGCTCAGCTCTCTGATAGTGAAAATAGCTTGACACTCTATTTTCTGACTCTAGTGAGCCCTAGACCTAATTCATGCTCTCCCCTCTGCTTGGAGTGCTCCACTCTGCTATGACAGAGACGTTGACCACCAAAATGAGCTTTTAACATTGCAGTTCAAATTTTGGCAAATGTCCTTTGCTTCTGCTTTGCTCCAAGCACCTGGTTCAATTTTTGTTTGATCTTGGCTGCTAACTTTGCCTTTATCTCTACCCCAGGTCATAGTTGCCCCTTCCAGCTGATGAGGGATGCAGCATCTCTGGCTTTGACTTCTGTCCATTTGGCTGAAGAGTCAAAAGGAAAGTGACTTTCCCCCAATTTCAGACCATCTCTTTCTTCACACGTATGAGCATACACCTTTACAAACAGCCAGGTCACTTCTTGAATGCTTTGCTGCTTAGAAATTTCTTCCACCAGATACTCTAAATTATCTGTCTTGAGTTCAAAGTCCACAGATCTCTAGGGCAGGAGCAAAATGCTGCTAGTCTCTTTGCTAAAGCATAGCAATAACTTTACTCCAGTTACCAATAAGTTCCTCATCTCCGTCTGAGACCACCTCAGCCTGGACTTCAGTGTCTGTATCACTATCAGCATTTTGGTCAAAACCCTTCAACAAGTCTCTAGGAAGTTCCAAACTTTCCTACATCTTCCTGTCTTCTGAGCCCTCCAAATTGTTCCAACCTCTACCCTCTACCCAGTTCCAAACTCGCTTCCACATTTTCAGGTAGCTTTATAGCAGTACCCCACTCCTAGTACCAATTTTCTGTATTAGTCCATTCTCACACTGCTATAAAGAACTATCTGAGACTGGATAATTTATGAAGAAAAGAGGTTTAATTGGCTCACAGTTCCTCAAGCTTAACAGGAAGCATGACTGGGAGGCCTCAGGAAACTTAAAATCATGGTAGAAGGTGAAGAAGAAGCAAGCCTTCTTTACATGGTGTCAGGGGAGAGAGAGAGAGAGAATGCAAAGGGGGGAAGTACCACATACTTCTAAACCATCAGATCTCATAAGAACTCACTCACTATCATGATGACAGCAAGGGGAAAACCCACCCCCATACTCCAGTCACCTCCCACCAGGCCCCTCCTCTAATTTGACATGCGATTTCGTTGGGGACACAAATCCAAACCACATCATATGTTGAGATACAAAACTCTACTTTGTACTCCCGCAATTGCCTGATGTCAGAAGTTCTCACTCCTGGTGGCACATGGAATCACCTGGTGTTTTCAAAAACAATCCCTGGGCCCCACTGTAGCCTAATTGAGTCTAAATCTGATACTGAGGTTCAGGCATTGGCATTTTTAAAAGTTTCTCATGATACTCTAGTGCAGTCATGGCTGAGAATCGCTAAGTGATGGTTAAGCTCGGGGGTTATATTTAAAATCTTATTTCATCACTACCCAATTTCCTTATCTGCAAAGTAGGACTAATTATATCTCCCTCCGGAGATAACATGAAGATAAAATAAGATAACGTGTGCAAAGAATAAGGCTTTGTGCATTAGTGATTGCTCTTATTTTCATTAGCATTATTATTTTTATTATTGCTTGATTTCAATGCCTTAGAATGTTTAAGTAGCAAAAAATTTCCTATTTACTATAATTGATCAAGATTTCATAATATTTGCAAACTAAACATCTGACAAAGGACTAATATTCAGAATCTACAAGGAACTCAAATTACTAAGAAAAAAATACAAATAATCTCATCAAAAAGTGGGAAAATGACACGAACATTTTTCAAAAGAAGACATGCAAATGGCCAACAACATATGGAAAAGATGCTCAGTGTCACCAATCATCAGGGAAATGCAAATTGAAACCACAGTGAGATACTACCTTACCCCAGCCAAAATGACCATTATTAAAAAGTCAAAAATAGTAGATGTTGGAGTGGATGTGGTGAAAAGGGAACACTTACACTTTGCTGGGAAGGAATGTAAATTAGCACAACTTCTATGGAAAGCAGTGTGGAGATTTTTTGAAGAAATAAAACTAGATCTACCATTTGATCCAGCAATCACACTACTGGGTATCTACCCAGAGGAAAATAAGCCATTATATCAGAAAGACTCCGGCATACATATGGTTGTCATAGCTCAGTTCATAATTGCAAAGATGTGCAATCAACCTATGTGCCCATCAACCAATGAGTGGATAAACAAATGTGGTATATACACACTGTGGAATATTACTCAGCCATTTAAAAGAACTAAATAATGTCTTTTGCAGCAACTTAGATGGAGCTGGTGGCTATTATTCAAAGTGAAGTAACTCGGGAATGGAAAATCAAATAACATATGCTGTCACTTTTAAGTGGGAGCTAAGCTATGGGTGTGCAAAGGCATACAGAGTGGTAGAACGGACATCGGAGGCTCAGAGGGGGAAAGGTGAGACAGGATGGGGTGTGAAAAACTACATATTGGGTACAATGGACACTATTTGGTGATGGGTGCACTAAAACCCCAGAGGGTACCACTATACAGTTCAACCAAAAAACACTTGTACACCTAAAGCTGTTGAAATTTAAAAAATAATTTCATGCTGAAAATGTGACATAAATTATAAAAATACAATACAAAAAATGAATCAGATACAGCATCTGGGCAAAGGAGACCACATATAATAAATTACCTACTATGTGCTAGGCTCTTTATGTACATTAGCTCATTTAATCTCCCACTTATCCCATGAAGTAGTCATTACCACTCAGGTTTACATAGGAGGAAACTGAGGCTGAGATAAGTCATCCCCAAAGTCTCATAGATTTAATGTGGGAGAGCCTGGATTTCAGCTCAGGCCCTCCTGTTTCCAGGTTTGTGCTCAGTCCACTGTATTATCATTGAGTATCTACTATGTGTTAGCCTTCCCCCACTCAAGAAATTTACAAGCAAGAGAAACAAATGACTTGTGCTGGGTAGAGAAAAATCAGAGAAGGCTTTTTGAAGGAAGTGAAAGTCCAACTGGGACTTGAAAGATGAAATGAATTTACCAGGTGGGAAATGGGAGAGTAAGAACATTTCTGGCAGGGGAATTCAACATGAGCAAAAACAAAAGGACAATGGTACACTCTGATGAGCTGGGCAGGGTGTGTCTCATACAGTTGGCTACATCAGCTTTATTTTTCACCTCTTGCATCACTCACTTGAGACAGACTCCATTCCTCTGGGCAATAATAATAATAATAATAATAGAAAGATTGAAAATTAGTGTCAATAATATTTTTCTCTCCACCTGTCTTCTTATCAATAGCAAAAATCTCTTATGCATTCTGAGTTACTGTCCTTTTGATCTCCATGGGAGTTTTATATGTCAGTCAAATGCCAAATGTGCAATAGGGAGCTCCAGCATGGACAAGGGTGTTTGTCTTTCTCTTGCACGTCAGACACAGCTGGTGTGTGTACATAGGCACATGCACACACACACACACACACACACACACACACATGCACACACACACACCAGGGAGGAAGAGACAGTTGGGTCCAGCTCTTGTTCTTCAAATACTATCAAGGAGGCTCAGTTCATTTTTCTTTGCTAACCAGACTCCAGGTCCCATCTGCTCCTTGAAAAGCAGCAAGGTCAATGCCAAGTTCCCTTTCATCATCCATATCTGTGGCTGAGCTGTCTGCGGTGGCAGAAATGAATGTTCTCCATAGCTCTCAGCTCTGGGGTGGCCACTTCCAGCCTGCCTACAAATTGTGATTATGCTCCAGTACAACCAAGCAAAATACACACTGCTGTGTCTGTGTCCTTTGCATGGCAAGGCCATGGGAGAGAAGAGCCTTCTTTGGAGGTAGCTGTTCCACCACCCAAGGTCAGCCTGAGCCTGTTGAGAATTGCAGCACACACACACGAAGCCTAACATATGTAACATGAACTCTGCGGTTTTCCTCTGGTGCTTGGCTTAGCTGAGGCTGTTACATTTCAGATCTCCAGCTCTACAGAAAAAAAAGTCCATACGTGTTAACCATGCCGCCCCTGAGATTAGATCAAAATTCTGATTTGAGAATAAGGTTAATCATAGGTTCATCACATGGTGACCTATGCAGGCAAGGTCGCAACTCAATGAGGTTGTTACTGTGCAAAGACCAGATTCAGAGGGAACCCTATAGGTTTCCACAGCTCTGGCTGCCTGGATTCCAAGGGGAGGGGGCTCCAAGCTCCAGGCTGATGCCTGCAAGGGAATGGGGGTGGGGTGGGGAATGTTACAGGAAGTGAGCTTGTAAACTTGGTCTTCATAGAACTTCCCCTGGTCAATTAGCAATGCTGCATTCAGTAATGGAAAGGAGAAAGAAGCTCTTAGCAATTTGGCTCATGAGCTTATTGAAGGAAAAAAGCCCGTGTCTCCTCTTGGGCTGAAAGGCTCAGCTCCATTTGGAAGAGCACAGAGAAACACGACTTTGTAATGCAAGGTTAAGAGGACCCGGTCAGGGATCAGAAAAGAAAAACATTTCCAGAAGTTGGCATGGTAGGGATGAAAATGAACTCTGCTACTTTGTTTACAATGATCTGGGGTCATATGACTTTCCCCACATACTAAAGCAGGTCTTAAATGCTGGCTGTAGTTTAACTCAGCCTTCTCGGTAGAGAATAAGCACCTGGGTTCAAATCCTGGAGCCAGGTGTGAATCCAGGCTCCTCAGTTTATTAGCGATGTGATCTTGGGCTAGCCATTTACCCTTACTTAATCTGTTTCTTCATCTGGATAATGGAGTTAATAATAAAAGGGACCAGAGTTTGTAAGCAAATGCACCAACAGGCCTAAATACTTATTATGGATAAGTCAGTAATATTTTTCCCAACCTCTCAAACTCCCTCTACTGCTCCTGTCTGATCTGCGACCTCTCTTGCATTTATTTTATTCTGGAACCACAGAGAGCTTCTGAGATTCTCTTATGCTAGGCCAGTCTAATGTTTATTGCATTGCTATAAAGAAATGCCTAAGACTGGGTAATTTGAAGAAAGGAGGTTTAATTGGCTCATGGTTCTGCAGGCTGTACAGGAAGCATGGTGCTGGCATCGGCTTCTGGAGAGGGCTCAGGAAGCTTACAATGATGGCAGAAGGTGAAGGGGAAGCTGACATCTCACAGGGCAGAGCAGGGGCAAGAGAGAGAGCATGAGGTTCCACACTTGTAAACAGCCACATCTTGTGAGAAGTCACTATTGCGAGAACAGCACCAAGATGATGGTGCTAAACCGTTCATAAGGAATCTATCCCACTGTGATCCAATCACCTCCTACCAGGCCTTACCTCCAATACTGGAGATTACAGCTGGCATGAGATTTGGGCAGGGACACATATCCAAACTATATTACTTGCCATCTTATCTACCATTTTCCTGTGAATGTACACAGGGACACACACACACGCACACACACACATGCACACACGCATACACACACACACACAAAGGAGAAAGAAAATTCTGGTCCAAGCCTTCAGGGCTCTATCCCTTGACACCTACTATTTCCTCTGCCTGGAAACCCTTCCGCTATTCCCAAATGTCTTCAAAACACTGCTCAGACTTTTCTTCCCTTATGAACTTTCATTGAGGCTTAAATCCTTCCAACACAACAGAGTTCATCAGTCTTGTTTCCCTTCTCTTTGTTCTAGACTATAATAATACATGTCTCTCATTGCATGGATCACATTCTGTTATATTTATCTGTACATGTGTCTCTTGCTCCCACTAGAAGGTAGAGCTTGAGGGTAGGGTCTATGTCTACTCTGTGTCCCAGGTTCTTTGCATAATGTCTGAAACATAATAAATGCTCATAAAATATTCCTTAAATTGACCTGAATTTAGCTCAGTGGGGCAACTGAAAACAGTTTTGATTAAAACATTTATATATTATTTTAAGGTTACCCAACTGTTTTTTTACAGACTGCCTCATTTAATTCTTATGGCAATCCTCTGAGGCCAGGAGGGCTTGAGGAATTTTATTATTGTCATTTTTGGATACGTGGGAACTGAGGCTCAGAGTATAAAAGCTGTGTGCATGGACATCCCACTAGTAGATTACAGAGACAGGACTAGAACCAAGGTCTGTCTATTTCTAAGGCATTTCCTCCACTGAGATTTGCTGAGACAAAAAGCGATTAGGGGATACTTCTGTTTTTTCCATAGCACTTCATCCACACTTCTATCTGTCATGGACCATACTGTACATATGTCTCTCTCTGTAAATCACTATCTCTTTTTTTTTTTTTTTCCTTTAGAGACAGGGTCTCACTGTGCAGCCCAAGTTGGAGTGCAGTGGCTATTCATAGGCACAGTCATAGCTCACTGCAGCCTCAAACTCCTGGGCTCAAGCGATTCTAGTGCCTTAGCTTCCTAAGAAGCTGCCATTCTAGGTGCCCAACACAGTGCCCACTGGTCACCAATTTCTTTTTTTTAATTTGAGATGGAGTCCCACTCTGTCACTCAGCCTGGAGTACAGTGGTGCCATCTCAGCTCACTGCAACCTCCACCTCCTGGGTTCAAGAGATTCTCCTGCCTCAGCCTCCCAAGTAGCTGGGACTATAGGCATGTGCCACCACACCGGGCTAATTTTTGTATTTTCAGGAAAGACGGGGTTTCACCATGCTGGCCAAGCTGGTCTCAAACTCCTGACCTCAAGTGATCCACCCGCCTAGGCCTCCCAAAGTGTTGGGATTATAGAAGTGAGCCATGGCACCCGTGGTCACCGATTCTTAACCTGTGCTGCCCCATGATGTGCAGGAAAGATGAAGTTTACTTTGACTACAAAGAATGAGATGGGATACACCCAAAATGAGCTCTAGATGATGCACTCTTCTTCTGGCACCAGGTGAAATTCTACATATTTTCCTCCATTTTGGATATGATACGTGAATACAACCAAAAGTAATATTATTATAGAGCTACCTTCAGCTCTTCCTAATTAAAATTAAAAACCATTTACAAGTGATATTTCTTTAAATTGTATTAATAACAAATGATTTGCCATTTACCTTACAATTATTCACATCATGATCAACATATCATCAAACAGCAATTGAGAATTGTTGAACTTTCATACATATTTACAGAGACCCAAACTGTATTGATGGCTGGGGATAAATATTAAAAGAAAATGGAGTCTTTCTGTTATTGTGGTGTCTGCAAACAAACAAAAATAAGCTGGCAGACAATTAAATGATTATAAATGTTTAAATAACATAAATATAAAAATAAAGAGTTAACCCTTCCACAACATGAGGTTAAGGGTGCTGATCCTATGAACATGAAAAATCCATGTATAAATGTTGGCTTCCCCAAAACTTAGCTACTAATAGCCTACTATTGACTGGAAGCCTTACCAATAACAAAAACTGTCAATTAATATATATTTTGTATGTAATATATATTCTATACTGTACTCATAATAAAGTAAGCTAGAGAAAAAATGTTAAGAAAATCATGAAGAAGAGGATATGTATTTACTATTCATTAAGTGGAAGTGAATCATCATGAAGATCTTTCTCCTTATTGTCTTCACGATGAGTAGGCTGAGGAGGAGGTGGAAGAAGAGGAGTTGGCCTTGCTGTCTCAGGGGTGGGAGAGATGAAAGAAGATCTGTGTGTAAGTGGACCTACAGTGGATAAAAATCCATGTTGGTCAAGGGTCAACTGCATATTATAGACAAAAATATATATGCATAAATATCATAATAATTGTAAAGAAGCACATGCAGCAGGAATAACAGGACCTGCTTCAGGTAGGTGGTCATGAAAGGCATCTTGAGGAGGTAACATTTAAGCTGATAAATTAAGTAGTGGTCTCCAGAAAGAGGACTCACTGACAAAAGACTGTGTCAGAGACCTACTAAGATGTAGAAAAAATGTTAACCTCAATTGATATTTTTAAAATCAAAAAATAAGAAGTTAAATTCTACTAATATCTACCGATGTTCTCTCTCTATCTCTCTTTTTTCCTCCCTATGCATTTGTCAGATGTCATATGTCATCTGTGGGACCAAACCGTGTGACCACATGTTACACATTTCAAATTGTAGCAAAAATAACAAATGGATTTACTCCTTCATTGTTCTGTTGAATGTTCTATTTTGGCAGCCCCAATTTCCAGAACAAAGATAAAAGGCCAAGAGGCTGATCCCAGGAGCAACTCTACTTTTGCCTCAGGATTTTTCATGTGACCACATGTCACACGGTTTGAGTCTCTGGAGAGAGAAAATGGAATTCCACAATGTTGAGGGAGAAAAAAGACAGCAGCACCTCACTTGTTCCTTCTCTTTCCATGATAGTAATACATAACGCTATGTATAGCAGTATATGTAAATGCCTGGTTAAGCAAATTTTCAGATTATATTATCTAGTTTTCAATAAATGAAGACTGTCAAAATTGACAGACAGCTTTAATAGTTTCTTCCAAAGAAACCATGGATAAAAAATAATCATAATAAGGCAAATCCAAGCAACAATAAAACAGCAACTGAGACATCTATTTTTAGTATAAGATCTTCTTATGCTTCTTTATGGAGTGAAATGATAGTCATATGTACATGACTTAAAACATAAATTTGTACCAAATATCCTTAACAATGTATTATTAATGAAGCAAAATAATTATTTAAATATTATCTTATCTTTAATACTTATGTTATGCATCTATATTTGTGTATATTTCATAATGAAAATAATATGTTAGCAAAGGAGTACTTGTATATATATTATAAATAAATAAATATAGTTAATTTAGTAGTACAGGTTCAATGTTTTTGTTTGTTTTGTTTTGTTTTTCAGATGGAGTCTTGCTCTGTTTCACAGCCTGGAGTGCAATGGCATGATCTTGGCTCACTGCAACTCTGCCTCCCAGGTTCAAGCGATTCTCCTGCCTCAGCCTCCCGAGAAGCTGGGATTACAGGCACCCACCACCATGCCCAGCTAATTTTTTTGTATTTTTAGTAGATATGGGGTTTCACCATGTTGGCTAGTCTGGTCTCGAACTCCTGACCTCAAGTGATCCACTCACCTCGGCCACCCAAAGTGCTGAGATTACAGACAGGAGCCACCTCACCTGGCCAGGTTCAATGTTTTTGCCCCATGATAATCAAAAATATTTGAAGACTATGGATGTAAGGGATGAGAAGCAATTAGCCATGTGACAAGTAGAGAAATAGACAATCTGGGCAGATGGAATGGTATCTGCAAAGGCCTGTTTGAAGAACCGAGGAAAATCCAGTATAGCTGGGGTGCGTACCGTGGAAAGGAAAAGTAATGTGAGATGAAATGGAGTGATAGGCAAGGACAAGTTCACAGAGGACCCTGGACTATAGTAAAAGATTTATACTTTAGTGAAATTACCAAGACCTTTAAATGTTTAAAGCAGTGATGGAATGATGAAATTTAAGTCTAAGTTTAAAAAAAATGTATATGGCTGTTATTGGATGATGAAATCATGCTGGGTAGACATGGAAGTGAAGCAACCAGTTAGGAGGCTGGTATAGTAATTCAAGCAAGAGATTATTGTGTCATGAACCAATGTAGTGACAGTATAGATAAAGAGAAGCAGATAGATTTTAAAAACATGTTGGGTATTAACTCAACAGTACTTGCAGACGGATGGAATGAGAGTGGGAAGTTGATGAAGAGAATGAAGAAATCAGGAAAATTTTCCAGGTTTCTTGCTTGAACAACATAATGTAAGTTGGTATTATGTATAAAGAAGGGGAGTGGGTTTGATGACAGAATCAAGATTTCTGTTATAGGAATATTAGGTTTGAGATTTCTGTGGGAAATTTAAGAGATGATGGTAATCAGGTGGTTGGATGTACATGTTGTATGGAACTCACAAGAGAAATACCATTGGCTGTCCTTAGCTGTTAGTACCTTCAAGGTAAGATCTAACATCTTTAAAGCCTTAGGACTTGGCTCATTACAGTGATAGGCGCTGAGAAAATGTCTATTGAATCCAGGAGTTTGGGAGAAAGGGAGTAAAGGGAAGAACACTTGACTAGAATTTGTAGGTCAAGGTGGCAGCCATTGTCCCGGCACATACTAGACATAGACCTTCCATAGCTAATGGTACAGTCATTCTCAACTGAAAAGGAGCAATTAGGCATGTCAAAGTCAATGACAAAAGAAAAGTGCCTCAATCAGTTCTGGGACAAGCTCTGAAAAATCCTGAGGCAAAAGTAGAGTTTCTCCTTGGATCAGCCCCTTGGCATTTTATCTTTGTTCTGGAAATTGGGGCTGCCAAAATAGAACATTCAACAGAACAATGAAGGAGTAAATCCATTTGTTGTTTTTGCTACAATTTGAATATCAACTGAAAAAAATTTAAGATCCATTAGAAAATTTAAGGAAGTGATTAAATATAAGATACATTTTAAAAATTCAATAGTTTCCCTATATAGCAAACAGTATTAATTAGAAATATAAATACAAAAAGTATTCAATTCATCCTGAGCCTCCCCTGCCAAAAAACACCCTAAGACTAATCTTCATGAACAATGTTTAGGAATAAAGTAAACAAAACCTATAAAACTACCCTGAGAAATATAAATTAAGATTTAAATAATAGGGAGGCAGATTGTCCTCCTATACTATTATTATCTTTAGTATTTCAAGAGTACAAATTCTTCCAAATTTTGGTATAGGACTAAGAAAATGACAGTCAAAATCACAATGGAGTTATTTTTTGAACTTGGTGAAATCACTCAAAAGTTTATATTGAAGAATACACATGTGAGAATCAAAAGCCAGTGGGTAAAGAAGAGTGAGAGAGGAGGAGCACAGTCTGTGGCCCAAGGTAAAAGCACAAGGATTAGGACAAGATAAGGGCCCTCTTTATATAACAAGGGTTTCTACTCTCTCTGTAGGTGCTTGATACCACCCATATATCTGGTAAGCATCCGAGGCCAATTTCAGAACTTCCATTTAACTGTATCATCCGTTATAACAGAATCTTTCATTCTGGCATCTAACCCATTGTTTTTATAATTTTTTAAAATGGCTGATTTCTCACTAGACTATTTTTTCATATTTATATTTCTACTGTCTAACACAGTATGTCATACATTGAAATTGTTTCACAATATTTCTCATGAACAAATGAATAAATGTTCTGGAGATCCTAGTACTTTACTGCTGTATTCCTGGATCAGAATTTTGTTCAGTCAATATTTATTACTAATAAATTAGCACTGACTAATGCTACGAGAGATACTAGAGAAGCCAAAAACCATTCCATTGATGAGAATTATTAAGCTTCTTAAGGGAATTATTTCTAGTACCTCTGAGTACAGATTATTTGTTTCTCCAAACACCTGAATACCTATTTCTCAAACCTCTGACATTTTACAGTGACCACTTAAGAACAGCCACATATGGTATCCAACCTGAGTTAGAGTCCTGGCAATGGCGTGACTTAAAAGGGGCTCTCAAGCTTAATAGCTCCTGTGTTTTCTGGATTTATAAGGAAATGTGTCTTTGTTTTACTCACAAAAGCATTTTTTAAGAGATCTCAAGAATTTGAAGGTTTGAAATGATAAAAAATGCTCATATTTTTTCACAGCTAGAAATCTGGAGCAGGGTTTTACTACCAACCTCCTTCTTCCTGCTTTGAAGCAAGAATAGGAAGCTCTTGCTGTTTATTACTGCTGGTTCATCAGACAGTCAATTTTAAGGCCATATTGGATAGTTATTGATTGATGTTCTTTTTCAAAATTATTTGAAAATCCTGACAATTCATTGTCTATTTGTGAACTTTGTTATTCAAAATGCTGTTGAATGAACCTCACTTAACTGAAAAAGTAGTCTGGTTGTCCCTGCTTTGTGCTATACCCACCAGTGAGCTCATAGTTCAAAAGTGAGCTCATAGTTCAACAGTTTTGAGATTGTTGTACATTCCCTAGCCCAAATGTCCTTTCAAAAAAAAAAAAAAAACCCCGAATTAATTGTTCACAAGTATGCACCAGCCATTATATTGGATATTGGGGATTTAAAATAAAGAAGACTGCAGTAGCCCCTGTTTCTATGTTGGTCCTTCTGGACTATTCTCCATATACCAGCAAAAGTGCATGTTTGAATGTGGAAAAGTAAAACCACATGTCTCCCTTGATCAAACTCCACAATGATTTCGTATCAATCATGGCCAACACAATCCTACCTGAATTGGCCCCTGCCTACCTCCCTTCCTGGTACCCTCCTCATTCATTCCATTCCCATTACACTGACTTTCTCCCTTTTTCATGAACCTATGAAGCTTCTCTATTCTAGACATCTGCATTTACTGTACCCTCTATTTGTAAATCTCTTCCTCACGTTTCCACGTGGTTTGCTTTCATACATCTCAACTCAAAGTTCTTTCCTCAGAGAAAACTCCCTGACGATTATTTCAAAGTAGCAGCATCACCACAATCACTTTCTAGCCTCGATTCTGCTTTGCTTTTCTTCAAAATACTAGTAATAACCTAAAATTATATCACACATTTGTTTATTGTCTGTTTCAACATCTCTGTGACATAAACTTCATATAAGCATAGACTTACTTGACTTGTCTATACCTATATATCCACAATGCCCCATGCCATAGTTGCTCAATAAATATTTTTGAATGGAAATGAATGAATGCCTGAGCCTTGTCCTTGGGGAGTTTCTAGTGCATATAGACACATAAATAGGTAATTATTTAAAAATTACAACAACTCTGTCAGCTACATGTTATTATTTGTCTTTAAGAGGTGAGGAAACAGGCTCAGAGAGGCTAAGTAATTTGCCCTGGGTCTATCAGGTAGTAAAGTGATTAAAATTTAGATTTAAACCAGAAACTATATCACTCATAGTGAATCCACCAATTTCTTCTGAATAACAGATTAATCTTTGAAGTAAGTTAATGTAGAATTTGCTTATTGCATATAAACTTTCCATTTTTTTGGCACACAAATTTTAGCAGTTGCCCATATGTACCTATTTTATATCATACATCAGAAGCAATCTTCTACATACAAAACAAAAAGCTTACTTAGAGAGACATATCAAAAAGTCCTCTTATAATCTCAAATAATTAAAAAAAAAATTGGAAGTATCCTGAAGAGTCGATATCAGAGAATTGGTATTGTCAGTTGTGACTATTCATTACAGTAGCATGTTACATGGCCCCTAAAGGTTACATTTAAAATATTTTTCAATAACATAGAACATTCTCGTAATCTATCATTTGGTGGAAAACATAGATTATAAAATTAAATGCAAGATGTTAATTTCTGGCCATGAAGGAGTAGCCTGTATCAGACTAACCTTGCCACAAGGAACAACTATCTACAGTTGCTAGATAGAAAAACAGCTATTTGAGGGAGATTAACCAAGGTATCCAGGGCTTGACAAACCAAGATCCCAGAGAGAAATGAAAGAAACTGAGATAAACTGTATGTACATTTTTGCCACTTTCTCTCTTTGGACCATTTGCCCATTTGCTATGAGGACATAGGATCAACAAATAAAATGGAAGAGTACATATTATGGCAGTATTAATTGGTGAGGAAAACAAAATCAAAGTTTAGGCCTACCAATGCAGTCAGAAGTTAAAGGACCAAGATTATGGTGGAAAGAGAAACAGAAAACTGAACCCAGCATTCTGAGCACAATTTCTTCTAGAGGCATTTGCCAGTGTCAAAGTGTGTATAGATGATAGTATAAAACATCTTCTAAGGAGTCAGAAGGCTAAACAGTGATTTCATTAGACTCGACGCTGGTAAAATAATTAAACTTCAAGGAGAAGGGGTCCTGGTAAACCATTCACAGCTTCAAACTATCTTACTCCCTGATTGGACTGAGGTAATCTATCCATACACAAAAGAAGAAAGATCATTTCTGAAGGAAGAGAAAATCATTCAATGCCTTCAGAATTTTTAAAACAAAATGTCCAACACTCAATCCAAAATTACTAGGTATGCCAGGACACTGGACCAAATGACCACCTGTCTTCCCCAAAAAGACAATAATTTGCATTAAAAACCTAAAGGTAATCTAAAGGTAATCTAGCAATTAGACTTATCTAACATGAACTGTAAATAGCTGTGTTTACCATGGTTAAAAAATAGATAAATATGTGGAGAATTCTAGTAAAGAACCGGAATTTATAAAGATAACCAAATAAAAATTCAAAGATTGAACATAAAAGAAGATTGCTTTAACATAACAAAGGAAAGCAGATGGGAAATTAATAAACAGCTCATAGGTCAATACAAAATATACAGATTGAAGCACAGATAAATAAAACAAAAATATATAAAACAGCATAATATATGGGATATGCTGAAGAAAATTAATATACACACAAATGAAGTCTCAGAGGAGAAAAGAGAGAAAATTAACAGAAACAATATTTGAAAAGATGCTAGCTGAGAATTTTCCAGAACTGTTAAGGAATGACAAGTCATAGATTCGAAGAACCCTATAAACCTGAAGTAGGACAAACACAAAGAAAACATATGACCTATTTTAAAAAGAAAAGGGAGGAAATGGGAAAGGAAAGTAAACCTTGGGATCTCAAAATCACTAAGCCAAAGAGAAAAGTCAAGCTGGGAACTGTGTCAGGCAAACCTGCCTCCTATTTTATTCCTAAATAAGATAGCTACAAAAAGAAAAAAAAAAAAAAGCTATATACCTCCTTCACAATTTTCTCACTAGGAAATTCCTTGTGTACTTCAAGATCTTTACCCTAAAATGGTACTGTTGAATTTTACCCTGACGATGTAAATTGTTAGCTTACCTTCAAAGGTATGGGACAAAGGACAGAACTCTAAGTCGACCCTCTGCTCACCTAAGAGAAATGCATATCTGATTACTTCCTCTGATTTAAAAATGCAGATTCATTGAGCTAGACAAAGCCAGAAGTTACTATTCCTCTACTCACTTTCACATGTAAATCATGTATTTGGTGAAACGCTGATCGAAGACTCAAAAGAATGCAACTGTGTGTCTCTTCTCTACCCACACCTTCAAAAACTTTCTTCCTCTTTCCCCAGTGTCCACCCTGTCCCCTTTAAATATTGAAGCCCTCAAAATCATCTTTGGAGGAAGAACAGACTTACCTCCCAGGCATGAGTCCTTACCCTTGGCAAAATATATTCTCTAAATTAAAAAAAAAAAAAGAAAACATATGTAGGTATATCATAGAAAAACAGCATCCAATAAAAGACAAATAGAAAATGAAAAGCAACCAGAGGGGGAAAAGACATACTACTTTTAAAGTAGCAATAATAAGAGCCACAGCTGACTTTTCACTATAAATGATGGAAGGTATTAAACACTGCAATAAAATCTTTAATTGGCTGAAAGATAACTGCCAATCTAAAATTCTATGCCTAGTAAAAATATCCCTCAAAAATTGGGGTGAACTAAAGACATTTTCACACATCAAAAAATATTGGCAGTATTCATCACCGGCCAAACCGTACTGAAAGAAATACTACAGAAAGTTCCTCAGACAGAAGAAATGTTATTCCAGATGGGAGCAGATAATTCAGGAAAAATGAAAACAAGCATGAGTAAAGTATATTTCAACAGGAAAGGGATTGAAAGAGAGTGAATAGAACTAAAGTTTTGTTCAATTTTTGCATTGTTCAGGAAATGATATAAGTTAAGAGAGACATTAATAAGCCAACGATGCATACTGAAATCTGTAAGATGACCACTAAAAAATAATAAAAGAAGTATATATGCAAAAAGAAGAGAATATACAATAATTTTAAAAATAATTAGTACAATAAAAAAAAGAGACAAAAACTGAAAAGGACAAGTAGAAAATAAATAAAAATAATATATTTAAACCCAAATATATCAGTGATGTATTAAGCACAAATGAACTAAATATTACAATTAAAAACCTATGTTTCTCAGATTGAATGCAGAAAATAAACTATATGTTGATTATAAGAGACAAGCCTTAAAGCATAAAGACACAGAAGGCTGATACACCTATGTAAAATCAAATAAAGTCATTTTGAAAGCAAGAAGTATTAGTAGAGATAAAGTGTAATATTTCACTAAAGAAGATTGATTTAAAAGGAAGATGTAATAGTTCTAAATTTATACGCATCTAATAACATAAGATCAAAAGATACAAAGTAATAACTAACATAAGTAAAATAAACAAAAATTCCCAATTATGTAGTTTTTAACACATATATCTTAGTAACTGATAGAAAATAGACAGAAAAGACTGGGCACAGTGGTTCACGCCTGTAATCCCAGCACTTTAGGAGGCTGAGATGGGTAGATCACCTGAGGTTGGGAGTTCAAGACGAGCCTGACCAACATGGAGAAACCCTGTCTCTACAAAAGATACAAAATTATCCTAGCATGGTGGTGCGTGCCTGTAATCCCAGTTACTCGGGAGGCTGAGGCAGGAGAATTGCTTGAACCTGGGAGGCCGAGTTTGCAGTGAGCCGAGATCATGCCATTGCACTGCAGCCTGGGCAATAAGAGCGAAACTCTGTCTCCAAAAAAAAAAAAAAAAAAAAAAAAAAAAGGAAAAGGAAAAGAAAATAGACCAAAAAAATGGAGAAGGAAAAAAAAAACAACTCAATGAAAATGACTTTACACATGAATTCCTAAAATCAATTAAGGAGGAAAAATAATACAAATTTAAAAATCTTCCAGAGAATAGTCAATGTATTCTTTATTCCAGAGAATAGAAAGTCAGTATATTCTTGATATGAAAACCTGGCAAGAACATTACAATAAAATAAAATTATAGGCAAATTTGTCTCATGAGCATAATTGCATTTTTTTTTTTTTTTTAAGGCAGAGTCTCACTCTGTCACCCAGGCTGGAGTACAGTGGTACAATTTTGGCTCACTGCAACCTCCACCTCCCAGGTTCAAGAGATTCTCCTGCCTCAGCCTCCCAAGTAGCTGGGATTACAGGTGCCTGCCACCACACCCGGCTAATTTTTTGTATTTTTAATAGAGATGAGGTTGGCCAGGCTTGTCTTGAACTCCCGACCTCAGGTGATCCACCTGCCTTGGCCTCCCAAAGTGCTGGGGTTACAGGTGAGAGCCACCACGCCTGGCTGCAAAAATACTAACCAAATCTTAACCAAAATATTTGAAGATAAACCCAGTTATATATAAAAATGGTAATGCATTACAACCCAACTGGGTTTGTTTCAGAAATTTAAGATTGGTTTAGCATTCAAATATCAGACTAATTTACTACATTAGTTGCATAAGTAGGAAAATAATTCAAAAAACCATTTGATAAAAGTCAATACAATTTCATAAGCAATACATTGTATACAGAAAATATAAATAAATCACATGAATCAATAAGCAAATGAGACAATCCAATTTTTAAAATGACCCAGTGTTTAGAATGAATATTCCAGAAAAGGAGATCTGCAAATGGCCCAAAATCATAGAAAAATTACCCCATAAATTAATGTGATGGATTGAATTTTGTCCCTCAAAAAGATATGTGGAAGTCCTAAACCCATGAATAGGATAGTATTTGGAAACAGAGTCTTTGCAGATGTTATCAGTTAAAATGAGGTAATACAGGATTAAGGTGGGCCCTAAACCAGTGATTTGTATCCTTATGAGAAAAGGGAAAATTGGACACACAGAACACACAGGGAGAATGCCAATATGACAAGGGAGGCTAAGATTGGAGTGATTACAAGCTAAGGATTCTCAAGGATAGCTGGCAACCACCAGAAGCTAGGAAGAGCTAAGAAAGGATCCTTCCCTAGAATCCTCAGAGAGAGCATGACTCTACCATGTTCCTTGATTTCAGACCTCTAGCCTCCAGAGCTGTGAGACAATAGATTGCTGTTGTTACAAGATACCCAGTTTGTGGTAATTTGTCATAGCATCCCTAGGAAGCTAATACAATTAGCTATAAGTGAAAGATTAAAACTCTTCATTGAAAACCACTACATACTTGTCATAACAGCTAAAATGAAAAAGACTAAAACACTTGGTTTGGGCAAGGGGGTAGAGTGATAAGAACTCACATATGCTGCCAGGGAATGAAGCTGTGGGGTAGAGTGTAAATCAATGTGATTATTTGTAAAAATGTTTGACAGTATCTGCAAAAACTGAACATATTTTGCCCTATGAGTTAAAAATTCTTGGCTGGGCGCTGTGGCTCATGCCTGTAATCCCACCACTTTTGGAGTCCGAGGCGGGTGGATCATGAGGTCAAGAAATCAAGCCCACCCTGGCCAACATGGTGAAACCCCGTCTCTATAAAAAAAAAAAATACAAAAAATTAGCTAGGCATGGTGGCGCACACCTATAGTCCTAGCTACTCAGGAGGCTGAGGCAGGAGAATCACTTGAACCCTGAAGGCGGAGGTTGCAGTGAGCCGAGATTGCGCCACTGCACTCCAGCCTGGCAGCAGAGAGAGACTCCGTCTCAAACAACAACAACAACAAAAACCCACAATTCTACTCTCAGGTATACACCCACAGATGTGTGCGTACATATTCATCAAAAGACATGTAACCAAAAATTATTTTTAATGGCCCTCAAATGGAAAGTAGGCAAATGTTCATCAACAGTTAAATGGATAATTAATTTTTGGCATATTCATACAATGGATAAGTATACAACAATGAGAATGGATAATCTACAAGTACTTCTAGTAGTATGGAAGAATATCACAAACATTATGCTAGAGAAAGAGGTTAGATCCCAAAGACTAAAACTTATTTGATTCCATCTACATAAATTTCAAAGCAGGAAACTCTAATGATAGAAGTCAGAATACTGGTTGCTTTGTGGGAGGAGGTGGTGAACTCAGAAGGGAGTAGGAGCAAAGTTTCTAAGGCGCTGGTAATATTTTATATCTTTATCTGGAAAGTGGTTACATGGGGACGTTGACTTTGAAAAAATACCTAGAACTGTACACATAAGACTTGTATTCTTGTGTGTGTGTGTGTGTACACTTCTATATACCTTCATCAGAAAACCTTTTAAAAATTGCCTGCACAAATACAAGTATACTTGTATACGTATACTACCATAAGCAAGAAATACACCTAGCAAAAAGGCTTCAGAGTGACCACATCTGGATGGTGAGATTACATGTGACTTTTATTTTCTTGCTCAGATTATTGTTAATTTTTCAAGTGTTTTGCAATGATTTAGTTCTAGATGAAGAAAAAATACCCTATAGTTGTTTTATTTTGGGATCATATGGTCATCCGTTTGATCATACTATCAACCTGGTAGAAGGGCAATGGGTAGATATGTTTATATAGTTGGTGAATATATTTCATTCCTCACCATATTTGTGTCAGCTCTTAGGTTTTCATCTCAAAAGGTTGTGTTCAAATGTGTTATCAAATCATATGAATAAGAATTATATTGTTGAATGGAAGTACAACAAAATACAGACACAGTCCAATGAGTGCTCTAGTTCCACTGTCTTCGTATATGAGGACAAATCAGAAAAAGGAGGCCATTCATTCAAAAATCAAAGTCCATTTTCCTAACTACACTGGAGATCAGACATTATTATTAACATTTTGTTAGCTTCCTATATTGCCAATGGCCTCACAAATGCTTAGTGAAGTGCAACTTTTATTCCTCAAAGTCTACTCTGTTGAGATGGGCTGAATGTTGAACAAATGCTCTGTACAGAACCTATAGCCACACAGAAGTATCCAAATCTCTGTTTCTTCTGCCTAAGGGTAATTGTCCATTCTGTCCTGACTTTTAAAGTGGTCTGTCTGACCCACACAGCATACTTCTAGGACTTTATCAATACCCATGGGAGAAGATGTCTGTCATCTCACTATCCTGAAGTGATATAAAGAAAAAGCACGGCCGGGCGTGGTGGCTCACACCTGTAATCCCAGCACCTTGGGAGGCCGAGGCGGGCGGATCATGAGATCAGGAGTTTGAGAACAGCCTGGCCAACATAGTGAAACGCCGCCTCTACTAAAAATACAAAAAATTAGGTAGGCTTGGTGGCAGGCACCTGTAATCCCAGCTATTCGGGAGGCTGAGGCAGGAGAATCACTTGAACCTGGGAGGCAGAGGTTGCAGTAAGCCAAGATCGGGCCATTGCACTCCAGCCCCAGTGACAATGTGAGACTCCATCTCAAAAAAAAAAAAAGAAAAAAAAGAAAAAGAAAAGAGAAGAACAAAGAAAAAGCACAAGCTTTGCAGTGAATCAGATCTGAGTTTAACTATGAGGTCAACCATTCAGCACTGTACAACACTGGGCTCCCTCCAAAACCTTCTTTATGTTTAGCCCATTCAGTTCAACTAAATTTAATCTGTCAAACATTAATTGAAGATCTTGAGTATATTAGAAATTGTGCTCAATACTGGAACTACAAAGGGAAGTGTGCAAATTTATAGTCTCTATCTTCAAGGAGCTAATAGTCTGAAAAACAGGGAGAAATGCCACATCCTCCTCACAGTTTTGTTTTGAGAACTAATGCAGTACTATTTAAAAGAGTAGAGTACAATTTGTCCATAGGGTAGGTGTTCAGTGTTAGTTCCATTTTGTCTTTTCTGTATTGCCAATCTTTCCTAAGCTTGTGATTTCGGCCAGTTATTTTACCTCACTGCACTTCTGTTACCCCAGTTGCAAAATGGGGAGAACAGATTTTTACTACACCCCTCCTGCAATAACAAACAACTCCAAAGTTTTAGTAAATTTATTCTAGTTATCTATGGCTTTGTAAAGAATCATTCCCAAAAATTAATGACTTAAAACAACTATGTTTATTTCACTCACCAATCTGTAATCTGAGGAGAGCTCAGTGGGAACAACTTGTCTCTGCTCCAGTCTCTGCTCCATTACCTGGACTGGCTCCAAGCCTGAGGACTGCATCATATGAAGGCTCACATGTGCAAGTGTCTAGTGGTTCATGCTGGCTCTTGGTTGGGACCTCAGCTAGGAATGTGCCTGGAATAGTTACACATGACCTTTCCATTGGCTTTGTCACAAGCATGGAGCCTAGATTTCCCAGGCTAGTATCTCAAGAGGAACAGATGAAAGCTGTACTGTATTTAATGACTCAGACACAGAAGTTATATAGTGCTAATTCTGCCATGGTCACAGACTGTCCCAGATTCAAGGAGAGGGAACATAGACCCTACCTTTCAATGGGAGAGTGCCAATGTCATCATGTAAGAAGAACATGAAGATGGGAAATATTGATATTGGCCTCTTTAGAACAATGTGACATAGGTTTGAAAGAAAAAAACTTTAATTTTTGCCCATACTTTATAGCCACTGGAAGTCACATGAGGAGCCCTAATCATCATAATCACATGGGGATCCAGGCTGATGGAAGTTTCATCTTGACATATAGTCCCATAATTGGTGAGGCAAGAAAAATGAATGTAGCATACCTCATAAAGCTTCTACCCAAGAGTGATATTTGTCACTTCGTCTTACATTACATTGGAAAACATTTCACAAGGCTAATGCTAAACTTCAAAGAGGGTAAAGAAGGGCATATGGCTGGAAGGAAAGAACCGGATTATTTATGAACAGCCCTAATGACTAGCATACACACCACCTAGGGCTGTTGGGAGGATTCAGTGGGATAAAGAACATGAGGAGTATAGTATAGGACAATCCTAAATGACTGAACATGTTCTCTAAATCTCAGCTATTATACTTACAACTACGTTGTTTATAAAATGGCCTGGCATTTTTCTAGCCATACTATCCAACACTGAGACTCAGAAAATGACTGCAGTGTGGAGAATGATTCTTGGTATGGGGATCTGGAGAAAATAGGACTTGCACAGCCTTTATAAGGACCCAGAATTCAAACCTTTTTTCTTCCATTACTGTTAATAATGTAGTCCTCTCACAGGAAGACAGTTGGGTTCCAGGCATTAGCTATCTAAACAAAACAACTTGACAGCCGTAACAGGAAGCAGACTTAGCCTTGGAAGAGAGAGCATGAAACTTCAAAAATCCCCACATGCAAAGAATGATGTGCCCATGAATATGCCTCTCCAGAAATGTCATTTTGTCTTTCCCCTCACAAAATAGTGTTTCTGCACTAATGACCTCTCTTCTCAATCTGTCCTTTGCCCAACTTTGATGTTGCGTTGACCTCCCGAAAAGCTTTGGAGTAGGCAAGCTAGTTTTCAAATCTCAGCTTCACTATTTACTACCTTTGTGATCCTCGAGCAAATCACCTAAAGTCTCTGAGTCTCCTCTGCAGATAGAGATGAAAGCATCTACCAGAATTTACAGACAACTCATATAAATCTTGTAGCTTGAATTGTGTTACAGAGTAGACACTGAAATGTTACCTCCTCCTTTCTGTGTCCAAGTTCTCAGATTCCCCAAGGAGAATTTAATGACACCCCCTCCACTTTTTGCTCTTCTCGGCTCTCTTTTTTCTCATTACATTCACTGCTAATGTCCACTCAGTTTCTGTTTGTGACTCCTCAGGTTTTGTTCTCACTTTTTGGTATAAAAAAGTCAACTCTCAAAGTAGCTATTGTAATAATAATTATTCCAAATTTTAAACCAGCTCTCCTTGAGAGGCAAATTATTCTTTTTTATTCTTATATTCTTATATTTATTATTATTATTATTATTTTTTTTTTTTTTTGGAGACGGAGCCTTGCTGTGTCACCCAGGCTGGAGTGCAGTGGTGTGATCTCAGCTCACTGCAACCTCCACCTCCCGGGTTCAAGCAATTCTCCTACCTCAGCCTCCCGAGTAGCTGGGACTGCAGGCACACGCTGCCACGCCCAGCTAATTTTTTGTATTTTAGTAGAGATGGGGTTTCACCGTGTTGCCCAGGCTATTATTTTTTGGGGGATAATTTAGATCAAATGAGAATTATTCTTTGAAAGATTCAGAGAATGAATTATATAAACTTAGTTGTGGAGACAATTTTAATCTTTAGTAAGAT
Organism: Homo sapiens; assembly: GCF_000001405.40. Classification (NCBI taxonomy): domain Eukaryota; kingdom Metazoa; phylum Chordata; class Mammalia; order Primates; family Hominidae; genus Homo; species Homo sapiens. The sequence goes on along the minus strand of NC_000009.12, from coordinate 106,448,736 downwards.
TTTTAGTCTTTACTGTAGTTATTGCTTAATTCACCCTTTTTCTTCTTTAACCAGTTTGGGAATTTCCCCCAAATTTTTCAATTTCACTGATATGCTCAAATTTTATTAAAGTATAATATATTCACAGCATTCTCTTTTTTAAACCAAAATCTATACCACAGTGAGTTTTATAATACTTTTCTAATTTCTAAGATTAATTTAGTTTTTATCTGTTGACTAGTTAGATTTTTTCAAAGATGTCTCCATTTGTTTGTTTCTGCAAAAAATAGGACTTTGATTTATATATCCTTTTAAATAGTTGCCAAAGTCAAAGGTTTTTGCTTTTATTGTTATCATCCTTTAGTTCTTCTTAGTATAGTTTTATGCTTTAATTCTTTCACATTTAGGAAAAAAAGCATTTAGTACTTAACATTTCCTTTTGAAAACAGCATTGGCTGTACTTCCTAAGTTTTTTGTTTGGGTGTTCTCATTTTAAATACTTAAAATAGCTTATACTTATAGTTTGTCAAATTTATCTTCATCCCAGTAGTAATTTGGAGCAATTATATTTAAAATTTCAGTTTGAGAAATATTTAAAACTTATACTTGTAAAAAGCATTTTTAGTTATCTGGCGTTATAGACTGAAAATGTGGTATCTGCAATATCTGGCTATTGGAATATTCATTTATTCATTTTTATATGTGTGTTTGCGACCTAGTTAATAATTATAGTTTAAAATTGTTTCATTAAACATTCAAAGCAATTATATTTTCTGTTGTTAAGCAAAACCTTCATGTTTAATGCAGTATATAACTAACTATATATGCACATATACAGTGGCTCTTGAAAAACATGAGATTGGTGGGGTACCAACCCCCACATAGTCAAAAGTCTGCATATAACTTTGCACTCCCCAAAAACTTTATAAATGGCCAACCGATGACTGGAAGTCTTACTAATAACATAAACCATCTATGAACACATATTTTGTATATGTATTATATACTGTATTCTTACAATAAAGTAAGCGAAAATGTTATTAAGAAAATCATAAGAAAGAGAAAATACATTTAACATTCATTAGGAAATGGATCATCATAAAGGTTTTCATCCTCATTGACTTCATGTTGTGTAGTCTGAGGAGGAGGAGGAAGAGGAGGTGTTGGTATTGCTGTCTCGGGGGTAGCAGAGGTGAAAGAGGTGGAGAAGGTGGAAGGGGAGGGAGAAGAGGTAGGCATACTTGGTGTAACTTTATGGAAATACATCATAATTTCTTCCTTTTTGTTTTTTTGCTTTTTCATTTATCTAAATATGTTTCTGTAAGGATTCTAGTCCTTCTTCCACTGTTTTCTTTAGTTTAAGTGCCTGTATCATAGAAGGGTCCATGTTATAAAATAAGTCAAAAGCAGTCTTGAATAATCTAAGCCTTTCTCCCAGATTGTCTAATGTCAATTTGTTTCCTTGCACGGCTTCTTCTACGTTTCTTCCTCATTATCTGGCACTGGTTCAAACGTGCTTATCTCCATCAAGTCATCATGGCTTTCTATAACAATGGCATCTTCAATGGTGTAGTTCTTCCAGACTTTCATGATGTTATTTCTATTGGGGTTCTCTTCTATAGCACTGACAATCCTTTCCATAGAATACTGTGTATATGTGCCTTAAAAGTTCTTATGACCCCCTGATCTAGAGGCTGAATTAGAGATGCTGTGTTAGGAGGCAAGTAGACCACTTGGACATCTTCAGCGTTGAACTCCTGGGATGCTGGGTGGCCAGGGGAACAGTCCAATATCAAAAGAACTTTAAAATTCAGTCCCTTACTAGTGTAGACTTCGTGACTTCAGGGACCAAGCGTTAATGGAACTAGTGCAGAAAATGGGTTCTCGTTGTCCAGGCCTTCTTATTGTATAGCCAAATGCCTGGCAGCTGGAGTTTATCTTTTCCTTTCAAGGTTGAGGGTTAGCAGCTTTATAGATAAGGATAGTCCTGATCAGATGCCCAACTGCTTTTGCACAGAACAGTACAGTTAGCCTATCCCTTCCTACCTTGAATCCTGGTGATTACCTATCTTCCTTACTAATAAATGTCCTTTGTGGCTTTTTTTCCTCCAAATTAGGGCACTTTCGTCTGCATTGCAAACCTGTTCAGGCAGATATCCTTTCTCCTCAGTGGAGTCTGGGTACTCATCTGCTGCCTTCTGGTTGGCAGAAGCTGCTTCACTTGTTATCTTGAAAAATTTTTTTTTTTTCTGAGATGGAGTCTCGCTCTGTCACCAGGCTGGAGTGCAGTGGCACGACCTTGGCTCACTGCAAGCTCCACCTCCCTGGTTCAAGCGATTCTTCTGTCTCAGCTTCCCGAGTAGCTGGGACTACAGGCATGTGCCACCATGCCCAGCTAATTTTTGTATTTTTAGCAGAGACAGGGTTTCACCACGTTGGCCAGGATGATCTCGATCTCTTGACCTTGTGATCCGCACGCCTCAGCCTCCCAAAGTGCTAGGATTACAGGTGTGAGCCACTGTGCCCAGCCTATCCTGATATTTTTAAAGCTGACCCTCTGCTGGACACAGTGGCTCATGCCTGTAATCCCAGCACTTTGGGAGGCCGAGATGGGTGGATCACAAGGTGAGGAGTTCAAGACCAGCCTAGCCAATGTGGTAAAACCCTGTCTCTACTAAAAACAAAAAAATAAATAAATAAATAAATTAGCCGGGTGTGGTGGCACATGCCTGTAATCTCAGCAACTCAGGAGAGACTGAGGCAGGAGAATTCCTTGAACCTGGGTGGTGGAGGCTGCAGTGAGCTCAGACCGCATCACTGCACTCCAGCTTGGGTGACAGAGTAAGACTCTGTCAAAAAAAAAAAAAGCCAAAAATGATTAAATCATCCTTTGCAGGCATTAAATTCTCCAGCTTTAGATCTTTCACATTCCTTTTGATTTAAATTGTCATGTAATGACTTCGCCTTTTCTTAAATTGTATTAGAGTCTATAGTATGCCTTCTTATAGAAATTCTGGACCCACATAAAAGCCACATTTTCAATATAAAATAAAAAGATATTTCATAAAAGGTGCATGGTTTTCACTCCTTCTGGTGTGACTGCAGTGACAGCTTCATGAATTTCCTTTTCTTTCCTTCTTTTTAAACAGTGGTCCTTATTTATGTTGAAATGGTGGGCAACCATAGCTGCAGACTTCAATCTATGGTACATATTAAGCAATTCAACTTTTTCTTGTAATGTCATGATTTTTCTCTGCTTCTTGGGAGCATTTCCAGCATCACTGGTGGCACTTCATATGAGTCCCATGTTTTTATTCATGGTTGACAGTATTGCACTAAACATAGTAAAAAATATATGAAAACTGAGAGAGATCACTTTTTACTGTGATACGCAATTTACTGGAGAGACAAACTGTTCATGCGGAGATGATTACAGTTACAAGGTATTTTAAGTGGATACTCGCAACGCTAGAGACTACTGCAATAGCAACAGGAGGTGGCTATGAAATCATTACAGTAGTAAAAACTTTGTGTTAATAAATGATAAAATAGACTAGTATCTACGTATATTTTATGCATTATGACATATCTAATTTTTTCTTAATTTTGAAAATATTTCTGAGCTATGTGGTTCATCTGAGAGTTTTTCAAATTGTTGCAAATCTCCAAAAACTTTTTCCATGTATTTATTGAAAAAAATTCATGTATAAGTGGATCCATGAAGTTCAAACCTGTGTTATTCGAAGGTCAACTGTATATAATTCATCTTAATACTTATATTATTTAAGTTATCACTATCACTTTTCTTCCGTGACATATTGGTGACTGAGAAATATGAATTAAAGTCTTCTAAAAAATCATTCAATTTATCTTTTTTACATACATCTTTTTATAAAAACTTGATTTCTATATTGTCTGAAATTATTACTGCTAGCTCTACTTTTCCCTTTTTTACATTTTCCTGCTATATCTTCAACTCTCAATTATGTTAATCTTATTTTGATACATTTTATTTATTTATTTATATATTTTTTAGACAGAGTCTCGCTCTGTCACCCAGGCTGGAGTGCAGTGGCGTGATCTCGGCTCACTGCAACCTCCGCCTTCCGGTTCAACTGATTCTCCTGCCTCAGCCTCCCAAATAGCTGGGATTACAGGCATGCACCACCACGTCCTGCTAATTTTTGTGTTTTAGTAGAGACATGGTTTCACCATGTTGGCCAGGCTGGTCTCCAGCTCCTGACCTCAAATGATCCACCCGCCTTGGCCTCCCAAAGTGCTGGAATTACAGGCAATTAGCCACCACGCCTGGCCTTATTTTGATACATTTTTAAGTTGTCCCTTGAATGCTGCAATATCTTGCTCAGTACTGTAGGTTCATTTTTGCCCTGTCTCGGGAGTGTTTGACTATGAGGCAGCTTAGCCTATATATGTATTATGTCATAACTGAAATATTTACTCTTTCTTTAATCATCTGCATTTGTGCTTTCTGTTTTTTTATGCTTCTTTGAGATTTATTTTATGTCTTCTATAGTTTGGATTATGTTTTGTTTTATATTTTCTATAATTTACTCGACAAACACTAATTGCCTCCAATGTGGCAGGTACTATGCTAGGCTTCTGGCACAAAAATAAGGAGAAAACAGCTCCAGTTCCTGTTGTGGTGAGACAGTAGATTAGTGGGGACATAGGTATTCATCAAATAATTGCATTAATTAAACCATTTTTATTCATTCATAGATGCTCCAAAAGAAAGAAATGTGTTTTATGGCACCACATGACAAAGAAAGTTGACTTTGTCATGAAAAATCTTGGAAAATTCCCTGAGAAATTAAATATATCCTGATATATGAAGAATAAGTAGGTGTTAGCTCATTAACTAGAGGGTGATGATCAAGGTGGAAGTATTCTATCCAGAGGGAATAATTGATGAAAAAGACCTGCAGTAGAAGGGAGGCTTTGAGAATTCTAAACATAAACCAACAGCAAGATTAAAAAAAAATACACTGTAGCTGGAGCCTAGAGAGCTAGCAAGATCTTGGTGTGAGATAAGGTTTAGAGAGGCTGAAAGCATTCATTGACTCCCATCTCTTTAAATATCAAAGTTAGAAATGACACTAAATACTCTACTTCCTCTGCAACCGAGCAGTTTAGTTGAGGAATCAAGTCAGTTTTCTTTCTACCTTTCAGTTTAAAATACAATTTTGGAGTTGGCACATATAGACTGTGTTTATTATTCTTTTGTTTATCATGTATCTTCCATGTCAAGCATTTTAATTGACATTTGTGTTCAGTTTTGAAACAATATTTTCAATAATCCTTTTAAGTTAGACTCCACGATTCTGTATTTACCCGCCTTCCTCCTCATCATTAGCCCCCTTTTCCACAGATTCCCCAAGCTTGAGCTTTTAACTTTGATTAATCTACTGATCAGCTAGAATACATTATGTGTCTTCAACTAATCCCTTCAAGAAGGGTGTATGATGGCATAGTTTCTGAACCTGCTCATGTTATGGAATGTCTTAGTGCTGTTGACTTCACATATGAGCAACAACATGGTTGGTTATACAATTTGGTCCATAACCAGCATTCCTCGGAACTCTGAAAGATGTTTTCATTGTCTTTTAGCATTTAGCATTGCAGGGAATCTCAGGTTAACCTGATTTTTGTTCGTCTGTAAGTAACTTATTTTGTTCTGTTTTGTTTGCAGCCTGGATGCTTGCAAAATTGTTTTTTGTCTAGCCAAGTATTTCCGTGAAAGTTTGGGGGTGTGGCCATTTTTTATTGATGTTGCCTTGATATAATAAAGAGAAGGCTAAAAATTTGCATATGCAAATTTTAATGGCATGCTTTCACTAGATATCAAGTAGCTTTGGAATTAAGACCATTTGCTCTAGAGCCAGGCTGTCTGGGTTCAGTCCCAGCTTTGTTCTTACTAGGCCTGTGACCTTGGACAAAATTTTTAAAGGAAAGCCAAAGTTAAAAACATGCTTCCTTTCAATTTTCTTATTTGTAAAATGGGGTTGACATAGTACCTACCTCATAGGGAAGTTGTGAAGGTTAAAAAAGTTAACACAGGCTAAGTGTCTGCCTAGTCTGAGTGCCCTGCAAGTGTTTTCTAGGACTTCTCTCTTTTTTTTTTTTCCCTCTCTTTCTTTTCCCTTTCTGGTTTTCTTTGAGTATTTGCTTTTGCTTATACCGTAATTGTTCTGATTTCATGTCACTCGAGATTTGATCTCCTCTCTCTCTTCCTTTTCTGGTTTTGAGTATTTGCTTTTGCTTATACTGTAATTGTTCTGATTTCATGTCACTCGAGATTTGTGGATCTCCAGTCCACAAATCTCCAAAGATTTGTGTTCAGATCTCTGCTTTTTTCTTCCCAATTTCACCTCCTTGCCCCTTTCCTCTGAGAATAGAAATACTTCTCCATTCTCAACTCCATTTCAGGATTTGCTTTAGTGCAGTATCATTTCCGCTCTTGTCGCCTCCAAAACACATTCTTTCAATTTCGCTATTCACATTTTGCTTTTTGTTGAATGTCACCTTGACTACCTCTTCTTCTCACTTTGTTAACTTGATTTGTAAATTTTGTCCTTTAAAATTTTTTATTTATCTCCCAGATCACAAGACTTCTTGGGGATATGAAAACATTTCTACATTTTTCTCCTGCTTTATGTACTTAATATTTTCAAATTCCGATTGCATGAATCTTCAGAATTGCTTTTTCCCCTTCTCCTGCTAAACTTTTGATAGGTCCTCTATTGTTGGTGGTGTATTTTCTATTTATTTCAAGAGAAGGAAAGATCCAAACTCAATCCGCGTTTACCAAGTGTCAGGGTGTGTGCATTTCCTGCAGCTTCATTCACTCTCCATTTCTTTGCAAGTCAAACTTCCTCCTAACAAATGCAGCCAGAGGTTAAATTAGGGTTGCCAGATTTAGCAAATAAAAATACAGGATGCCCAGTTAAATTTGAATTTCAGATAATTAATAATTTTTAAGTATCAGTATGTCCTGGGTATTGCATGAGCTGCATTTATGCTAAAATAATTTTATAATAATGTAATATTTAGATTTAATTCAGCTGCCTGTGTTTTATCTGACAACCTTTGATCAGGCTGACAAGCATCAAACTCAGCCCTTTTCCTTTTGTGCAGCAGGTTTCTATCTGGTACAAATCTTTGGAGAGGAGCTCTTTTCCTACTCTGCCCACTGGTTCTCTGCACATGCTGCAGTGCCCCGGATGCCCTGCTTTTCCTTTTTCCTCCCCCATCTACAATGTTGAAACAGACACCGTTTCCTAGGATATTATGTGCCGCTGCCCTTCCTCCTCCTACTTCCTCTCCACCACCTTGGGAAACTTCCTGTTCTCTGAAGATCATGTTTACAAAAGAATAGAGAAAAAGTCATAAATATTTATTTAATGTTTACTATGTGTCAGGCACTGTGCTTGGTGCTGTGCATGAATCAGCTCTTCTAATTTAATCTTCCTGGCTACTCTGTGGAACATACTATATGAATCCCATTTTGCAGATGATTAAAAACATCTTAGGCTTAGGCCTGGGTGCGGTGGCTCACACCTGTAATCCCAGCACTTTGGGAGGCCAAGAAGGGTGGTTCTCCAGAGGTCAGGAGTTTGAGACCAGCCTTGCCAACATGGTGAAACCCCGTCTCTACTAAAAATACAAAAATTAGCCGGGTGTGGTTGTGAGCGTGTGTAATCCCAGCTACTCAGGAGCCTGTGGCAGGAGAATCACTTGAGCCTAGGTGGGGAGGGTTGCAGTGGGCCGAGATCGCACCACTGCAATCCAGTCTGGGCAACAAGAGTGAAATTCTGTCTAAACAACAACAACAACAACAACAACAACAACAACAACAACAGGGCTTAGTAAAGTTAATTACTTGACCAAATGATAAGACGGTAATGCGGAGTTCTATTTGTCCCACAGTACAACATTTTCACTTCTGCATGATCTTCTTGTCTATCATATTCCCTCTCCTAATCCAAATCCAAAAGTTGCTGTATGAGTGAAATTTCAACCAGATTCTAAAAATATACTTCCTGTAATTTTATTTTTGTTTGTTATGAGTTTTCGTCTGCTGTATCTTCATGTGGATTTTAGTAAAAATTTGGGACAGGCTGGGTCAAGACTCAGCCAGTTTCCATTTTAATCTGGAAGACAGAATTCCATTTTTTGATTATCCCATTTCTCAGATAGCAAGTTCTGCTTTTTGAACTTTTTCAAAAAGCCATCTTTAAGCTGAGGCATTACAAATAAATCCAGTGTCCCTACACAGTTTTCCCAATTCTTTAGCAAATCCACCTTGACATCAATGTTTTCATTTCTGCTCCCAGTTAAGTCGGAGGTTGCTCTTTTCTTTGTCAACTCCCTTTACCTTTTGGGAGATGATGATGTCAAAAAGAATTACAAAGTATAAGGCTCTGGGTTTTTTTTTGTTTTTTTTTTTGTTTTTGAGATAGAGTCTTGCTCTGTCATCCAGGCTGGAGTGCAGTGGCATGATCTGGCCTCACTGCAAGCTCCACCTCCCGGGTTCAAGAGATTCTCCTGCCTCAGCCTCTCAAGTAGCTGGGACTACAGGCGCCTGCCACCACGCCCGGCTCATTTTTTGTATTTTTAGTAGAGATGGGTTTTCACCATGTTAGCCAGGATGGTCTCAATCTCCTGACCTCGTGATCCACCCGCCTCAGCTGCTCTGTTTTTAAAAAATGGAGATTCTCAGAAAACATGAGAAATGTTGACATTTCTTACAATCCCAAGTGTTGGGCCAGCTTTTTACCCCTTGCAGGAGAGCGTCATCACTTCCTCCCTCAACTAGGTGGTTAGTAATAGTTCTATGGCAATATCTCATTAAGTCTCACTTCTCTTCCATTTCATTTTATCTCTTTCAGGTTCTAAATTACCTTACAACTCAATACTGTCCAGACATACTCCACCAATTCATTTCCTCTCCTATTTTTTCTCTTTTTTTTTGAGGCAGAGTCTCACTGGCTCTGTCGCCCAGGCTGGAGTGCAGTGGCGCATCTCCACTCACTGCAAGCTCCACCTCCCGGGTTCAACGCCATTCTCCTGCCTCAGCCTCCCGAGTAGCTGGGACCACAGGTACCTGCCACCACACCCGGCTAATTTTTTTTTTTTTTTTTGTATTTTTAGTAGAAACAGGGTTTCACCATGTTAGCCAGGATGGTCTCGATCTCCTGACCTCGTGATCTGCCTGCCCTCGCCCTCCCAAAGTGCTGGGGTTACAGGCGTGAGCCACCGCGCCCGCCGATTTCTTTTAAATATATTTAACTTTTAATTATCGTTTTTCACCCTTGATCCCCACCCAGTCAAGTTGTACTGATTCCTATAAAATTTGATTTGACACTATTGTGCTTTCTCCCTTCCATTTATTGATCCCTATCTTGCACACGTTGGCAGGTATACATGGTGGGCTAGGAGACCTGTTTCTGAATGTGTGTTTGTCTGAGAGTTTCTGTGACACTTCACAGCACATTGCGTCTTTCGCTTTAGACCTATTGTCCTTGATGACATCTGCTTTTATCTGGGATTTCCTTCCCTCTCCCTAAAAATCAGCTGCTCAGGCCAGGGACTCACTGCCAAATGCATTCTTTCCAATCTTTGTGAAGTTCCTCCAGGCCTGTAGGAATTCTTCTTTAACTGACTAGAGTGGTGAGTCTTTTTGAATCTTGGAAAACAAACTGCTGTATGATTTCCTTGGCTCTCCCAGGTTGAGGTCATACGTAAGGATCTCATATTACATGTGACCTTGATCTCACCCTGAAAACATTTACTATATGCCTTTTAGAGAGTCATTTATACATGATTTTACTTTGGGATGAAAAGGGAGACAGCCGCCTTATGGAACTGAAAATAAAGAGAAAAAAATGAAGACAAAACAATTTTTAAAAATACATTATAAGTGCATGTTTACTTCCATATTCATCAACAAAGCCGACTTTTCTATTTATTGACCCTTTTCCATCTTGCCCACATAATGGTGTCATATTCATATAATTACAACTAAGTTTTAATAATTTTTTGCTTTCTTATATCTGCACAAGTATTTTATAACATTTTAAAATAAATACACTGCTAGTCCATTGAGTAGATATTCCATAATTTATTTAGACATTCCCCTCCATATTGAACATTTATAGGAAACTTAACTTTTTTTTGCATTCTATCCTGTTGAGGAAAGTAGCTTTTTTCCTTCAGATTGGTTTTTTGAGAAACATTTTCAGATGTGAGATTACATAACCACTGATGATTTTTAAAAAGTATTCCCAAAATTCCTTTCTGAAAGTGTTGCATCATTTTATTCTGCCATTAACAATGTGAGAGTTACCATCTCAAGACTTGCCAGTGCCAGGTAAATATTATATTGTTTTGCTAATTTAATATGAGAAAGTGATGTAGAATACATTTAAATATAACTATTCGATCTGATTTCTCCCCTCTCCAGAGTGTTGGGAAAAATTCTCTGACATCAACTTGGTGCCACGACAGAATTTTAAAATGCCCCTACACGCAGTAAGGTAGACACTTGCACACAGAACCAGTAAGAGTAGAAATTGGTTCAATCATCCCAGAGGGCAATTTGTCAAGGTATATCAAATATTATAAAAATAACCTCTGCATTTTGCTTTTTGGGAATTACTTTTCTAGGAATCTAGACTACTCTGAAATGTACAATATTATTTATAATATTAAAATTTGAAGAACCTAAATGTCTAACAAAAAGAGAATTATTAAATGAGTCATTGTACAGACATGCCATAGGCTACCAGAAAGCCCCACATCATGATTAAGAAGAATATTTTAATGACATGGTAAAGGGAGAAGAGGAAAGAATAATACCATTCTAGGTGCAGTGTGATCTCAATTGTGAAGAAAAAATTTCAAAGAAAAAGTCTGGAAAGCAATACACCAAAGTTGTAATAATAGGTTACTGCTGAATGGTGAGCTTATAATTTATATATGTCCTTCCTTTTAACATTTTCGGAATTATTCAAAATAGATGGGATTCAAAATTCAACATATTACATCAACAATCAGATGTTAAAAAAAGAAAAGAAAGAAAGAAGAAGAAGGGGGGAGGGGGAGGGGAGAGGGGGAAGGAGAAGGAGAAGGAGGAAAGCCTTTGATATCAAAATACCAATGTGCTCATGTGGAATTTGAGGCAAGTAACTTCTAAACTCAGTCTAAACTCAGCACTTTCTTTATTCCACTGTATTAATCATATGTAACTTCAGCTTCCCCACTTGACATAAGCCTCTTTAGGAACCTGGGTGCTGTCTTCCTCATTTGTAGATTTCGTCTCCTATCAGGTGTCTAATATAGTCCCTCATATAAAAATTAGTGCTTACTCTTGATTCATTTATTTATTTGTTCAGTTCATTCAAGAAACATCTATTTAGCATGTGGTGTCCCAGGCACTATGCTATAATCAGGGGAAACAAATATGAACAAGGTAGGATTTTTCTCCTTCAAGGAGCTTAAGTAAAACCTAAAGAGAGTATTCATATCTCACAGTTCCAAGGAGATGGTAACAAAGAGCCATTCTTAGGCCAGCCATACCAGTCAAGTCACTAGGATGTCAGCTTCCATCCCCCAGCTCCACAGCTCTTTGGTATTAGAGGGCCTCCCCAAACACCCCTGATGACCCCATTCACGCCAGACTCACCCTTCCTGCTGCCAAGGCCCTGGTACTGCTGCTGGAACCCTCTCTTCCCGCAGGCACAGCCTTGATCCCCACTTCTAGGCTTAGCCTCTCCAACAAGCCAAGACTGTAGTGGCCTCACTAGCTGCCATTCCTCTACTCTTAAGTCTCTCTTTGTTCATCTCTTTTTCTCCCACAAGTCCAGGAAAACATGAAGCCTAGAAATACATGGAGCTACTCACTCCTACTGCTAGGATTGGAAACATCATTTCTAACTCTGATCCCTCCCCACAAAAGTGAAGCATTTAGTCACAAAATTCTTCCCCAACCAGTGTGAGAGCCCCTTTATTTTTTCCATCTCTCCTCTACTGGAGCAGTTTTCCTAGGCCCATTTGAGGGAAAGGATCCATTTCTAGCTCTCTGTGGTTGTGTATCAGGAAAGCCCATCACTCACAGGAGAGTGACCTCCAAGCTAGGTGGTAGAAATGAGGAGGCTTAAGAGTAGAGGAAGAGCATGGTGGGACTGACATCCTGGAAAGAAATCTCCATGGTATGTTATTTCAATTAGCTTCTTCCCATCTCTGTTCCTTTTGCTTTAACAGATACATCCCAACAAATGTTGCTTTTGTATAAATATAGACTTTCAGTTATACTAACAGTAAAATTAAAATATATCATCTCATCTATTTAGATTTTTGTTCTTTTCTTCCCCTTTCCCCTCTCTATTTCATGGACTCATAAAATTTCTGGATGGAAAACAGCTTCAAGGCCATCCAATAAAATGTATCATTAGATCACTGAAATTCTTCTACAACATCTCACCAAGTAGCCTCAACCTTTGTCTGCATACTTCCAGGAAGGAGGATCTTATCCCCTAACTGAGCAACCCATTCCATCTTTATACAGCTCTAGAAATTAGAGTGTGTTTATTCCCAGTAGTAAGCACTGTTTCCCTGTTGCTTCCTTCCCTTTGTCCTAATTCAAGCTCTTACCAAACAAATCTTATTCTTCATCCATGCGGAAGCCCTTCCAATGCTTCCACTCTCTGGTTAATGCTAGACTCCTTTCTATTTTGAATTCTAATTCAAATATGATAGAAATAAAAATAAAATAAAAATTCACATAATCAAATATTTTAGCAACACTAGAAGATAACAGAAATAAATTGTAAGATAAATGTATTCATTCATTCTATTCATACAGTAAACATTTATCTACTGTTTTCATTGTTCCCAGCCTCCTTCAAAGATCTGGAAAGATAAAAATGGTTTATTTCTTGCACTCAAGAAGCTCATGGTCTAGTGTAGTGGTTAAGAGTAGGTATCCAGTGTCAGACAGTTTGTTGTGAATTCCTGGACTAGAACTTGATATCTGTGTAACTTTGGACCAGTCAGTAGTTCTGAATTTTATTATACGTGAAATACAGATAATAATTATACCTACTTCACACAGTGGTATTGAGTTAAATGACACAACCCCTGGAGAGTTTATTAAAGGATCAATAAATGTTGGCTATCATTGCTAGGAGGAGTGATGTGAGAAAGATGGAAGGTCAGTTGCAATACAATGAGTAGACAAAAAAAATGAATGTGCTGTGATGGCAAAGGTGGGGGCACATATCTAACACCCAGTGAAGACCTGGAAGAGCAGGTGACTTTTAGCTGGGTCTGGAGAGATGGGGGAATTAGATGGGTGAAGAAGCTAGAGAGGTATACTTTGGGCAGAAAGATCAGGCCATGCAAATGTATGGATCCAAGGGAGCCCAAGGGGTGTTCAGAGAACGACAAACAATCCAGAATGGAGGGAGCACATGTGGATTATTTCATCAGATGAGAACAAGGCATCTTGAGGGACCATAAAATTGAAAACCTTGTAAGCCAAGCTAGGAGAAAGAACTCTGTTCTATCAGTCATGGGGAGCCCATAAGGGATTTCAGGTGAAACCTTCAATCTGTGATTTATGATCATTCTGAAAGAGGGTGACTGAAGAGAGGCAAGCCTAGAGGATAATGGATTCCTCAGTAGTAAGTTCATGCTTAGGGTGTCAATAATGCAGGGGCCAATGAGCTGCATCAGCTGCATGATTTACCCAAACTTTTCCAGGCAGTGAAATACAGAAGGAAGTTCTCTTAATATGAGCACATGTATAAGCTTTGGGATTTACAGGTTGGCATTATTTTGATTTTAATTTATATGTAGCAGCAAGGCTATTGCAGTGCCCAGAGCACTTAAGGGCCTTAATTCAGCTATGGGTTAAGGGAGAAAATTGCATGAGAACAGATGAGAAATAATAAGGGTCAGATTTGAGGCAACAGCACTGGAAAAAAAGAGAAGGGGCAAAATTTAAGGAGACAACAGTCACAATGGAATGTTTTTCCCAAAAAAATAGCAGAGCAGAGACTATATATATATATATATAAATTATACTTTAGGTTCTAGGGTACATGTGCAGAACGTGCAGGTTACATATGTATACATGTGCCATGTGCCATGTTGGTGTGCTGCACCCATTAACTGGTCATTTACATTAGGTATATCTCCTAATATTATCCCTTCCCCCTCCCCCCACCCCTCTGGGTATATACCCAAAGGATTATAAATCATGCTGCTATAAAGACACATGCACACGTATGTTTACTGCAGCACTATTCACAATAGCAAAGACTTGGAGACTATATTTTTTCAACCCAAAGTATCTTCCTGACAGTGACAGTGTGACAGCATAATTGCTCCCAAAAAATTAACTTCCAATGCCATGAATATTTTTGAAATGTAACTTTATAATTTTCCAGAAAATAGTTGTCCAAAATATTCTCTAAATCCTCATTTATTCATTTGCTTAACAAATATTACTAAGCTTTACTATGAACTGATAAATGTGTTGAGGATACAGGGTATACTCAAGTGTAAGGTCTTGAGTGTACAGAAATAAAGGAAATTTGTTCCCTGATCTTAAAAAATTTACAGCCCAGAAAAGTGGATAGATATTAAAAACAAAAATAAAGGTCATACTTATTCATATTTTTGATAGCAATTACTTTCTTTCACAGCCAACTCATCAAAAAAATTGTTAAACATGGTATCTGGACATGATGCTGACCAATAACCATCTGTCACAAAGCCAGTGAACAGTCCTCAGCCAGTACCTTACTCAAAATCCCACCAGCATCCAATACTTCTTTCTTCTTGAGATTTTCTCGTACCTTAGCCTCTGTCACATCACAATCTCCTTTTTTCTCCTTTGCTTCTGCTTCTCATTTCCTTTGCTGACTCCTCTTCACATTGGGGTTCTTCTAATTTCTTCTTATCTTATCCTACATTTCCCTAGGTGAGTTCATCCACTCTCATGACTTTGTATAGTCTTTCTATATTTCAAGTTATTCAGAATTAAATTTTCAGCCCGTCTCTTGTGAACTACAGAGTCAGATAATCGAATTATTAACAAATACCCTAAATGTGATGCCCCATGAGCATCTCAGCCATGACATGGCCCAAACTTAATTCTTGAAGTATGACTTTTTCTTTCCCAAATATTTTCCTCTTTCAGTGTCATCCCTCTAATTAAATGGCATCATTATCTACCCTGTTGCTCAGGACAGAACCCTAGGTGTCACCCCTGATATCTCCTCTACATCCTAGTCCAAGCCACCATTATCTCTCACCTAAATTACTGGGATATCTTTCAGACCTATCTCTCCAGGGTTACTACTGTTCCCTTCCCAGTCATTTTCTACACAATGACTAGATATTTAAAACAAACACACACACACGTACACAAACACACAATTTAATCATGCCACTCTTTGTTTAAAACCCACAAACAATTTTTCTTGCACTGAAGAGCTAATGCAAATTTAACTTGGCTTTCAAGACCCACCATAATTTGAGACATGACTATCTGGTCTCTTTCTGTGACACTCTTGTCTCCATATCTTAACCAAGGAATTTTTCTTTCGGTTCCTCAAAAATGTTTGCTATCACCTCACACTCCTTTGGCACCTTATCCATGTTCTTTCTACTTCTTGAACTACTACTTACTGTTTGCTAGTGAATGTCTATCATATCACTCTCCAAGATAGCATCTATTTCTTTCTTTATTGTCTCTTCCCTCCCACTAAAATGTAAGCCCCACACAGCAGGGATGTTGACTGTTTACTCACTGTTTCATACTCAGCACTTAGGAGAGTCTCCGGCACAGAGTATTCAGTCAATGAATATTTACTTAATGATTAATTAGCTACTCATCAGACTGCTGACTTGGTTAGTGTTATTATATCATAGGCTCTTGTGCCACCTACTTCCCTGTAGCATCTATCACAGTCATAATTCTACATTTACTCATGATGGCAATAGTGGTTATAACTGAGCAGGATTTTGAAGGATGAATGAAGTATTGACCCTTATAGCTATCAATTATCTACTAAAAGAGAAAGTGGGGGGCATACTAGGATGGATCTTCTTTTAGGTTCTTTTGAGCTGTAGAATTCTAGGTCTAGGTCATTCAGGATTCAAGATGCAATAGGTACTTAGCCACTGAGGAGTGCCAGAGGACAGAGGAGTGAGCAATGAGAACTATGTCAGGAACAAGGAGCTTGTTTTGTGATTTTAAAGGTTAGTGTTAGCTGTGTGACATTTGCCTTTCTGTGCCACAGTAGCTCCTTCACTAAAACTAAAGAAAATAACACCTCGCTGAGATTAGCAATAGAATCTGGGAATTTATCTACTTTTTAGATACTTTTCCATCTACTATCCATCCATCCTTTCCATTCAATATTTATGCAATTAACAGTCACTATTCATCACTGAACCAGACACTGTGTGTGCTAGGCACAAGAGACTCAAAGATCCATGAAGTCAAATACCCAATCATATAAGTAGATAGCTATTTATAATTCAATATTTTAAGGATATGATAGAAATGTGTGCACCACTCTGAGACTAGTATGATCAGGGAAGGTTTCTAAAAGAGGTAAGAACTGAGTCTTGAGAAAAATGGGGTAATATTAACTGGGAGGCAAGATTGAGACAGACATTTTAGATGTGTGTGTGTGTGTGTGAGAGAGAGGCGGGGGGGTGGGGGGCAAGAGGAAAACAATATAAGCAGGAAGTGAGTGCAGGACCTGCAAAGCCACTGTTGCTGGAGTGTAAACGGTAAAGTGGGGACTGATGAGAGATGAAGCTGGAAAATTAGTCTGAGGCTAGGTCATGGTAAGTCTTGAGTGGTTTGGACTTTATCCTCTAGATAATTGGAAACATTGAGGTTTCTAAGCAGGAAAGGGAGGATGACATGGTTGCATTTATTTTGTAGAAATGGCACTCTGGTAGCTGCATGGTATTTGAAATGGATACAGATAAGATGGGAAGTAAAGTGGGGACCTACCTGTTCACTCTACATACCCTTAGCCATCTTTTCATTGTGTGCCTCTGGCTGCATATACAGAGTCATGCAATCCGAGATTTGAGTTGGAGCCTTAGAGATCATCTTTCCCACCCTGATTCAAATCTAGAATCCCCCTGCCAAGTCCTGGCCAAATGGTTCCTATACGCATGCACACAAACTTGCCCGTTATTGTACTGCACGGCAGACAGCTCTCTGGGCATGCAGACATTGGCAATTGCCCGTGGTTTTATTTCCCCAGGTACCTGGTGTAACACAGCCACTGCCTGACAGATCTAATCACAGGCAGAGTCTTTTTCACAGTCACCCCAGAGTAAAAGCTCAGTGTGTTCCCAAGGAAATGACTGAAACATTCAAATCAATTGCCCTTTTCTTCTCCTTTTTTTGACACCATTTTGAATACAAGTATGAGGTTTGATACTTGAGTATGAGGAGAGGAGGTGGATTTCATATGTCCAGGGACTGATCAAAAGGAGAAAGACTGCACAAAGATAGAAGTGCTCAGCCTTGCACCAGCCTCAAAGATTGCTGCAGCCCCTCCTGAGAATAACCAGGAATCCAATCAAACTCTTGAATGTCAGTGTCAGAGTGGGCAAAGACATCCAGTACCCACTCCTCACTGCATCCACATGAGCTTCATCCTCACTGCACTCCTTCCTGCTGTTCTTGCAGGCTCCTCAGTATCAGCCTCCAGGCCTCTGCTTATACCTTTCCCCAACCTGAGATGTTTTATGCCAATGCCACATATGGAACTTCAATGTCTCTTTCTAGGCCATTCCAAATGTCTTCTTGTCTGGAAGTTTTACCTGGATGATCTCTCCTAAAATTTTCACATCACTGCAATTACTCATCTGTGTTTGCCTTGCATTTTGATGATCTATGCTCATGTCCCATTTCTTCTGCCAGGCTGAGAGCTCCTTAAAGGCAAGGTCAGCCTTTAAATATCTGGTGGTGTGGTCTCAAGCTTGGCACAGGGAAGGCACTGGGTTAAAATTTGTTAATTAAATAGGTGAAGTAGAACTGGAACTCACAGATATAAGTGACCTCATTTGGGGCCTTTAGGGATAAAATTTAATCATGAAAAGAATTTGAGGAAGACCTACTTGTTTCAGAGAGAGGATAGTCAGGAAGGGACCATATTGGGGGCTTCCTGTTTTCTCGCCAGGAAGTGAATTGTTATTCCAAGTGGGGAGGTCCTAAAGGCCATTCTCCCTCTCATGCCAGCTCAAGCCACACTGGGCAGAGGCTGGAGAAACCTGTGGTTTAGAGGCAGAATGTGTCTGTCTTGAATTCGGAGTCCCGTGTTAACAGCCATGTGACCATGGGAAATTTACCTCACTCCATCTATAAAGCAGGAACAGCAGTTACCACAAGGAAGTATCATGAAGAATAAGTGTGTGGAACACATTGCCACCTTTTAATAAGTGTTAATTTCCTTCCATTTATTTTTTCTTTATCCTTTACTATGCTTAGAACCCAATTCCTATTTCATAGATAGATGTTTATTAAATAAAGAAAACACATTATAACTTCCATCTTCTGAATACCTGATTACCTGGAAATAGACCTAGATTGTCATGTTCCTATGTGGTGACTTTATCTTCTGGCCTCAGCTGCATGCAGGTAGAAGTGTCTTGCCAATTCAGATCCCTTCAAATAGAAATTTTGAATTAGACTCTTGAAACACTGAATCAATTAATTATGAGTAGCTTAGACATCCAGTTATAAACAGCCAGGTTAGTAGGAGTCTCCATGGTTGACCAAAGCTGCTTATGACCTGAAGTGGTAAAGCTTCTCATCTCTTTAATATGTTCTCAACTGAGAGTCAAGGCCATAGCTCCAGCTCTCATTATTTCTCACTTGGGCAACTGACTACATCAGTTTTGAATCCCCCTCTTTATTTTCATCCCACCTCTCTTCGTCAGCTTCTCTGCAGCTACAGTGAGGAATCCATCTAGAATCCAGTTTTGTAAGGCCTCTCCCTGCTCTATTCTTCAGTGTTTCCCATTCCTACATAATTATTTTTGAACTCTTCCAGAGAAATACTCACAAGGAGGCAAGCAGATAAACACATACAGCCATGGGGTACAACATCAGAAATGGAAGGGGCCCATCTCAATCTCAAGACTCTTATGGTATAGATGGTATTAATTGTCCATAGTTCACTTGTCAACCTCTTTCACTATTTCAGAGAAAAAATGCCACATTAAATTTTCTTTTTTATTCTTTTTGTTTTTTTTAGGTGGGCGGGTATCTGAGGAAGTAGGGCCCATCTTATTCCACCAATAAATATGTGGCGACCACATTTATTCGAGTATCTTGACACTCCCAGTTTATCACATTATGCTGGTATATTAATAAATAGGGCAAACTTTATTTGCCAAATAATAGGACACACTTTAATTACTGATTTGGATGATAAAGTATACAGTCTCGCTGTATTATTTCTCTTGTTAAACTACTAACCTGGCTGTTTATAACTGGATGTCTAAGCTACTCATAATTAATTGATTCAGTGTTTCAAGACTCTAATTCAAAATTTCTATTTGAAGGGATCTTAATTGGCAAGACACTTCTACCTGCATTCAGCTGAGGCGAGAAGATAAAGTCACCAGATAGGAACGTGACAATCTAGGTCTATTTCCAGGTAATCAGCTATTTAGAAGGTGGAAGTTATAATGTGTTTTCTTTATTTAATAAACATCTATCTATGAAATAGGAATTGGGTTCTAAGCATAGTAAAGTCAGTAAAGTCCCATTATTCATCATTCAATTCTCAAACTTTACTTTGTTGCAATAAAAACAATTGGTTTGTCTTTCATTTGGTCATGGAAAGGTTTGAAATATCTCTAAAAAACCAAAATTTGTGTGTCACTTTTTAATCATTGAGGTGAACAATTAAATCCTTCTCTTTATCCAGGTTCCCATTCTTTGTTCTGTTTTTTTTTTCCCTTCTAAGATAAAAAGGGCTGTTTAGCCCTTCATGAAAAAATCACAACCTGATTATTTCTCTTGTTAAACCAATACACTCTTTGCAGAGTAGAGTAAGTTTTCAAAGTCACATCTTATTTTATTTAAGCTTTATTGTAAAATAATCTCTCTACCACTATTTAATAAACATGATTTCTCAGTTTTCTGCCATATTGAACATACCAAGAAATTCAAGAGATATATTTTTGGGGTGATGCATTCTCAGAGAATAATGCAAAGGTGACTGACATATTCAAGGATGCATAGTAGTCTTAATGTGAGCTATTTTCACTTCCGAGCACACAAATCTTATGTGTTTATCTATGTATATATTATTTTTACACATATATAAGCTTAGTTAAAATTACATATCATTTTGAAAATACTTCTATTATTTTGCTACTTTACAAATAAACATTTTAACCCAAATACTCTGAATTTGAAAATACTATAGGAATGACAAATGAAATAACCACGATTGGCAATAGTGTTTTATATAGACTTTAAAGAATCAGATTAACTTTAGTTTTTCAACCAGTTATTCAAGAATGCACTTCTAACCATATTAAAAAGCAAGATGTGATCATGTCACTCAAGAATGGCATGCTTTTTCAGCATGGCTGCCTTTTTTTGACCTCAACTAGGTTTGGTTGTATCTTTATTTTTTCCCCATTACTTATATTTCACCTTTAAAGATGATTCTGATATTGAACTCAGAAGAAGTGTTTTGTTTGTTTCACTTTTTAAAAATCATATTGATCCCATCTAAATTATGTTTTTGGGTTCAAAAAGTTTGGATCATTGTTCTACAAAATTTGCAGGAATTAAAATTAATGAATGCCAAAACTATGTGTCTATAGATTTATGATTCAAAATCTCCTTCCACAAGAGATAACAATGTTTAGGCCCTGTGGAAGCAAAATATTATACAACAATAAGGCTTATATTTTAAGAACTATTTAAGCATAAGCTTTTACAGCTAGTTTCTGAAATAATCTATTGATCCACTAGTTGTGGTTAATTATGAGGAATCTTGGGTCAAGGCCATGGCTCTCATAGTGGCCAGTGATTTTAAGTTAAGCTGAATTTTGCACATTTTGCAGATTTTTACTACTTTCAAGTTTATGCTGAAAACTTCTGGTTTTTAACCACTGATAAATACTTTCAAATTCAAGGTTGTTATACTTTAACTGTGCAACTGAATGGTTTGTAACTCGAAGGATACCCCATTCTCCATGATGTGCTTATTTCATATTGTAAGTATGTACCAAAACATCTCATGTACCCCATAAATATATACAACTACTCTGTACCCATAAAAATTTAAAAAACAAGTCCCCAAATAACATACACATATTCACACAGAAGAATTGTTTATACTTTTGCATTATCAGGAAATTTACCGATAGGAAATAAAATTAAGATGACTTTGTTTTTTAAACCCTGTGCTTTTGTAAGATCAAGTAGTTGGTTGTTGTTACTTTTGGGGGGTATATCACAATAATTTGAATACACACTTAAGACATTTTTTATGTAAGTTTTTAAATTTTAAAATGATGTATTTTGGCTTAACATGTCCCCTGACCTTTCATCATAGAACCTTAGCAATCTCTGCACCCCAGTAAAAGAAATGAGAACTTAGCATGATATTCAAAGTCCCTGCTCCTCTTTTACTCTTCATTGCTCATTCTCTGCTTCCCACCTTGCTTTCTGGCTCCAACTGTCTGAGTTTTTCCTTATTATAGTACAGGTCATGGAGAGGAGGATCTAAGAACCTGATCAGCAGAGTAGGCAGCCTGGGTGAGAGTCGGAGGCATCTGTTCTCATGGTTTCGGACAAACTATGCAACATCTCTGAGCCTTGGTTTCTTTAGCTATAAAGGGAGGAAAATAATTCTATACCTCATTGGGTTACTGTGAGGATTAAATGACTTAGTACATATTAGGAGCTTAGAACAGTGCCTGACACTTGAAGACTATATAAGGGTTAGTTTCTAATTCCCCTAATGATCTAAATGAAATCTCTCATGCACACTATGGTCCTTGGCTGTGGTCTCTTCTGGGACTCCTGTGCTGCACTGGCCCCCAGAGAAAGCCTTCTCATCCCCCAAACTCCCAGGCCAGATGGAATAGATGTCCCCAGTGTTTACTCATCATTTTGAGTTGTAACTGTCAGTTTACTCAAGATGTGCATGTTCCACTCTTTCATTAAAACATAGTTGAATTAATGCATTTTAGAAAGAGCAAGAGAAGCCACAGAGAAAAATGGGATTCACTTTGGATAACACTGGATGCAAGATGAATTTTCCAGGTTACTTTTTTTTTTTTTGGTATAAAATGGTGCAAACTGGTAGGTCCTTTGGAAGATTTATTCTTTCCTTCTGCACCTGCAGCCTTGACCACCACACTGAATGCCCCTCCTATATGCCCAGTGTCTCTTAAAGGATGGCTCATACTTGTCTCTTTCTGTGATCTTGGTTCCTCTTTCTGGGTTTGGGCTGGCCCACCCCCCTTCACCTTGTCCTTCTCAGGGCAGCAACAGGTTCTTGTGGTCTAATGACCCCTATTGATGGAGGGGTCACTGGCTTCCAATTCTTTGGGGCTGAAAATGTCCCATCAATATTTTGGCCCTCCAAGGAGAAATGAGGGGTTCTCTCAGAGTCAATTAAATTAGATTAAAGATCACTTGGAATTACATACCCTGTGTAGTCCTGAAGGCGCTTCCCAGGAAGCTTAACTCAGAAAGGGATAGGATTTGACATTCTCTTTAAGCGAAGCTGACTGATATCTGCTTTAAGAAAGAATATAGCACAGTAGCAGGCACTCCATCCTCCCCCAGCTCTACCAAAATGCTGCTCTCTTGAGCCCTGGGACTCTGCAAGAGCAGATATTGGTAAGAAGCTCATCCTTGGCTGGAGGCCCCAGGAAGAGGAAGCTTGGAATTTCTCCAGAGGAAACAGTCCCACATGGTGGGCCTCTCTACATTCTAGGGGTCGGCTCTGTGATTTTCACACACAAAGAAGCCTTGAAGGGCAATTCCCAAACCTGACAGTTCCTCTTTCCATTTCACAGAAATCAAGGAATCTCAGCTATTGTACCTAAGACCAACTTAAACGGGAAGCAAATGATCTGTCATGTCTTTGGGTCTAAGCATTGGTGGCCTTTTTTGGGTTTCTTTAATCTGTACTTAATGTCTAAATGTTTCCCTTTGTATCTTGGGGCACTTGGGGAGGGGTGGGAATGCTAGTGGAGTATGATTAGTGGTTTAGCGTCTTCTTGTCCATTTTAACCACCACACTGCATCCTTTTGTGTTTGTGGAACCTGCCATCATTCTCTGCATTTGTGAGGGAGGAGGACCAGAGGGACCTGCCGTGAGAGGCAGAGCAATTGGAGGGTGGGGACAGACTGGCAGGCATTCCATTAGCCCCAGCCCATTCTCAGAGTATACTGCAAAGAGATCAGATCACCTATTATTTCTTCCCAGGAAATGTTCTGCTCTCTTGAGAGTGGGAATATTTGGAAGCATTCTCTCCACCCACTCTTTGGAAATGGTGACCAAACTGGACTTTTCCCTCCTCTCAAAATATATGGGAGAGAGCATGATTGTCCCGGGAATGATCTAGCAGATTTTTCAAGTTTTATGAGATTATGTGAAAGTTTCTAATCTCAGTATCAGAAGCCTTGAGCTACCATGCTCTTTGCTTTTGACATCCTCTCTATCAGGTGTCCTGGGAGCCAGATGTCAGAGCTGAACAGATGGGGAAGTTTCCCACAAAACAGCCAACCACTGTTCCTGGGTAACACAGTCTCTATTGCTGTAAAGAAGACCTCTTGAAGGTTAAACTTGATGTTTTAAAAGGTCAGACTTGAGTGTCTACCTGTTCTAATACAGATGTTTCAGACTCAGCAAGTTCATTCACAAAAACCCTGAGTCTAGCTCAGAGCTAGAATATAATAAGAAATCAGAGAATGTTGGTGAACTTAGCTGAATTTGAGCTTTCTCCTCTGTTGGGACTTTGGGGATGTGAATTCAAAAGATCAGCAATGACTTCAGCATCTTTGTCATATTCCAAAAGATAGCTTCACACATACCTAACTCAGGCGTGGGTTGGAGAATGCACTGATTGAACTTTTGTAGTTTTAATCTGCCTTGGGACTGGATTAAGAGTGAGGAGGACTCAATTTATGTCCCAATCCTGCTGTGTAACTAAATAATTTACTTACCCTCTCTGAGTCACACAGAGTCACTGTGAGGCTCAAATGAGATAATGTATGTTAAATCCCTTTATTAATTGTAAATCACTATACAATAAGACAATAGTGTGGTTATTATTATTAACGCAATTAATTTGCAACGGATGCATGAAGGAAAGTAATTTCTATTACAAACCAGAGGTTAAAAAAATCAAATCCCCATATAATCTTGTAAGCTTGAATCAAATTGCAATTTAAATCTATACAGGTACATGACTAAAGAGTATAATATTATTATTAAATATCTTTATTACTTTAAAATATCTATTATTTGAAAACTAAGCATAAATGTGCTATGGTGCCATGTGACACTAGAATTAACGTAGGACTTTGAGGTAAAGTTAACATGATTGTGAGAAACCCAGACAGGTTTCAAGTGAACTGGGCAACTACCTTACAGCTTCTATTCTGCATTGCTCTTCCTGGGACCACAGGGTCTCTTAGCTCCACTTTTCCCCACTTATCTGCTCCATTCTCAATTCAATGGATAGGCTTGCACTGCCAGATTTTCGATTCTGGTTCTCAGAATCTTTACTTATTTGTCCCCATGGCATTAAATCTGGTGTCATCTCTACATTACCATTTTTCAACACTGCCTGAATAACATATCCCTGTGAGAGACATCCTAGTTGGCTTAGTGTAGGTCACACAGATACCAGTCCAAATGGCTGTAGCTGCAGGTGTCATGTGTAACTTGAGCTGCATCTTCCAGGCTATGGGCCGGGTAATGACTTTCAAAAGAGGGTGAGAGGGGCTGGAAGAAAATAGGAAACTGCCCTTGATTTCCACTGGAAACACCATTGGCCTTTCTATTCTTGCAAGCTGTGTTGCTTACATCACAGTTTAGTGCTTCATTATTTCATTTGCCCCTTCCCAATTAATCTGTAAGGTCCTCAGGACAGGAGGCATGGCTCGTTCTAGTCTATTCTGAATGAGTCCGACATTCAGAACCACGATGGACACACTGTAAGTATTCAGTGAAGCCTTGTTGGTTGTTATAAGGTAATTGTCATCCTTCACATGCATATAGCACTTTACAGTACACACGGCACATTCCCATATATTGACCCATTTGACCTCATTAAAATCCTGAATCATTATGACCTTCACTTTACCAGTGAAGCAAAAGCAAGGCACAAGGATAATAAGTGACAGGACTCGCATCTAATTTTACACAGTGTTCTAGGTGCCTCTAGAATATCTAAGAGAAGATGTCGAGGAGCTAGTTAAATCTGTACTCTAGAGAGAAGAGTAGCCTAGAAATATATATTTGGGTATCATGTGAGTATGCATTACATCTGCATAAATACAATGGCAGTGAATGATATATCCAGGGATCTGTGTGTAAAGTAGAATAAAAGCTAGCCCAGAACAGATGCCTGAGAAACACTAACATTTACTGATTAGCAGAAGAAGGGAGCCCATAAGGAGACATAGAGAAAGCATCCCAAGAAGCAGCAGAAGAAAACCAGGATGGGTGGTGTTTTGCATGACCCGGGGGAAGAGAACTTCTCAAAAAGAGTAATCAACAGAATCAAATGCTTTCAAGAGGCCAAATGAGATAAGAACTAGAAAATTCTCTTGGCTGACCAGCTGCGGGTGGCTCACACAGGTAATCCCAGCATTTTGGGAGGCCAAGGCTGGTGGATCACTTGAGGCCAGGAGTTCGAGACCAGTCTAGGCAACATGGAGAAACCCCATCTCTAGTAAAAATTCAAAAAAATTAGCTGGACGTGATGGCACATACCTGTAATCTCAGCTACTTGGGAGGCTGAGGCACAAGAATCGCTTGAACCCAGGAGGTGGAGGTATCAGTGAGCCGAGATTGTGCCACTGCACTCCAGCCTGGGCGACAGACGGAGACTGTCTCATAAAAATAATAATAATAATAGAAAGAAAGAAAGAAAATGCCCTTGGCATTTGCAACAGGGAGATCATCAGTAACTTTTATCAGGGGAGTGTCAGATTAGAGGCAGGGATGTAAACCAAACATCAATAAGATAGAGAGGGAATGGGAGGTAAAAAGAGGAAACAGTGAGTTCAGCCAATTCTTTTAAGAAGTTTGGCTGTGAAGGTGGAGGATAAGATACAACCGCAGGTAAGGATTCAGTGAATATTTAGTTTTTTTTTAACGTGGGAGAAATTTGAAGGTATTTAAAGCCTGAAGGAGCCCGAGGGAAGTATTTCCCAGGGAAATACTTTACCCGATTTAGCAGAAGGGAAGGGAGAAAGGATGAATGTAGATGCCAATAAGTTTGTTTGGGCCAGTGTAGGTACTGAAAATGTTTTTTTATTTTCTCTGTCTAAATTCAAAGCAAGGACATTTCTTAAGAGTAAGGGAGGTGATGGGCTCAGGAGAGTAGAGATGGTTTGGTTCTATTTATGAAAGTACCCACTGACATCCCCACATACCCACATCCTGTTGCCCAGTCATTGCTTGTCCTTTTATTTACTCTCACATTAACTCATCCATTCATTCAACAACTGTTGAATGAAAATCTGTGTGGCAGGCTGTGGGAAATGCACTGGGGGTACAGAGGTAAAAAGCACATCGGGTAGGCATGAGATGACTGTCTGTGGCTACACAGGAAGGTAAATTTTATTTGACCCATAATAGGACGGGCCCAGTTACTGTAGTCCCTGGAATTAGCACATTAACAAAGCAAGCCACACGGCTACATCCTGATTAATCTGATTATTAAACAGATACATTTCATGATTCATGGGATTACAGTCATCCATTCTCAACCCCTACAGAGCCTAAAATCTCTCTCTTCCAGCATATGGCTCTACTTGAGTTTCTGGCACAAATCCTGTGACCTCCTCTGGAAGAGAACGCTAATTGTCCCCCAGTATCCATCTCCCTTTCTTCCATGGTAAGTGAATGTAGCTAGGTCCATAGCTAACTCAAGTAAAGAATACTTTCCCTAACCCCCTTCATGATTAGGTATAGCCCTGTGACTAAATTCAGGCCAGTGGAAAGTAACAGAAAGTGAAGCAGGTCATTTCCAGGTTAGTCCTTAAAGGGCAAGGGCATGCCCTGCTTTTCACCTTTTCCCTTCTGCTGGCTGGAATGAGGGCAAGGTGGCTGCGAGCTTATGATGTGGATGCCACAGAGGAGGGAGAGTGGAGCAATCTTATGGAAAGAGCCTGGGTCTCCTTGGTGAGTTCTTCATTTATAACTCAGGACTTTAGAAATAGCTGAACCTCCATGTAGATGGAGCAGTAGACTTAGCTAAGGGGATTTAAGAGCCATAAAAGATGAGAAAATGGTTGAGAATTTATGATGCAATTTGGAACAATGGCGGCCAAGAGTCTTTCATCCCTACAAGTGGGGAGTTTCAGCAGGAAGGTAAAGGAGTTGTGCTAGGTGTCTTCACACCTATAATTTCCTTTATTCCTCACACCAACCTTATGGAATGCATACTATTATCTCCATTCTACAGATTTTGAAAACCAAAGAGATAAGAGGTACCCAAACATGCAGTTATTGCACAGCAGAGCTGGAGTATGCACTTCTTTCTGCAGAGTGCTTGGCTCTGTTTTTTCTCTTTCACTATGAGACTTGCTCTTGCTCATGTGAGGGGGCCCCAGGCTGCAAGGAGAGCAGACACTTTCATCAGCTTTGTGGCTTAGACGGAATGAAAAGTCCCTCTTTCCTGCCAGACCACAACGTCCTGTGGCCCTGTGCCCATCAGGCACTGCCACCTTTGAGCCCCTGTGTGTACAGTGGTGATAGGGCTGAAGGGAGGGGAAGAGAAGAGAAATGCCCCCAGGCCAAGACCCTTTACAATGGAACCAGGTGCTATAAATTTCTCCAAATGCACCACCGCTCTCCACACATGCACATCTGGAATGCCGCATAACCCCTTCCCTCTCCAACCCCCTCTGCAACAATGACTTCCTGGAGCATTTTAATGACTCACCATTGTAAATAATATACTCTACCCTTTCTTGTAAAAAAAAAAAAAAGCTGGAAGTTTCTGCAAAACCAGCAAATTACTCCAAATTATAATTTCATCGAAAACACTGGGAAAAAAAACAACAACACCTTCATAGCCTGAGGTAGGAAAGGTTCAGGAGATTTATGTCTTTCCTTGAACATGTAGATTTATAACAGTGGATAATGTACATTCATTTCATCCATATTTATACCTGAATTGATGCAGAGTCTGGTATCCATTACTTTAATCTATGTAACTTGATCATCAGAAATCTGAACCATAATTTTAACACGTATTACAAAGAGTTTCTTTTGGGCTTAAAGGAAAATGACGGCAGAGAAGAAAAGCCATTAAGACCCAGCTGCAGTCACTTATTCCTGCTGCACTTCCTTCTGCAATATGTGTGGGTCTCCCTCCCCATTTCTCATCCCATACCTTCCTGGACACACACTGGCTCCCTCACTCAACCTCCAGCACTAACTGTGCTGAGACTGGAAAGGAGAGAGAAATGATGGGCAGGGCAATTCCAGGGAATTCATGGAAATAAATCTCTGAGATTCCTGCCAAACCAGAGCTCACACAGAGGCGGTAGAAATGGGCAAGTAGTAGCCTCTAGTCACTTAGTTGAAGTGAAAAAATGCAGAGTCTGATCAAAGCTTCTCTCTGACAGACAGTAGAAATTAAACCCAGACACCAGTTCTCAAAAAGCATGGCTGGCACAGAGCACATGTTCCTGTCCAACTTCTGAGCATCAAACATTAGCCTAGCTCAAAACTCCAAATTCCTGTCCTGGACTAAAGCCAAGTGGTGGGTTTTTGAGGGATCTGGGACCCAGAATTATATTAGGTGGAAGATGAAGAATGCAAGACCCGGGACCTCACTGTAGTAGGTGCATGTCAGAGAACTCTCTTGGGCTGACATCCTGGGATTTCCTAAAGCCATAAAAGCACCACGAGGGCAAGTCATTTTGTTCACTTGCATGGTCAAGGCTGGCACTTAGTAGGTGCTTGATAAATTTTGTTGAATGAAGGTCTTTGTTACAAACCATTCCAGAGCTATAAACTGTAGTGTGAGTAGATACAGTACAATACTGAAGATGAAACCAATGGGGTTTTATGACATTAAGAGTACTATTAGGAGTAATATGCAATCAAATTTATTATGGCTTTCTGTTCTTTTCTCTTCCAAATTTTCTTCCATTCTTTATCGTGTGTGTCACCAGAATGTTTCATATTTTATAAATATTTCGAGATTTGAAAGCATGATGCTATTTAATGTTCATAGCAATCCTGGGACACAGTTGTAACAAACAATTCCCATTTCACAGATGAGGACACTGAGAAGCAGAGTTTCCATAACCTGCCTGTGTTCCCCACCAGGCTTTCAGCACTGCTGTCTCCCGATTCCCATGTTCTTTCCTCTACACTGTGCCACAGTGGTGTGTTCTTGGCAGGGGTAAAGGGCAGAGTAAATAGAGAGGGCATTTTAGGAGTGCCTGGAAACAGCTGATCTGGCCCCAATTAGCATCCTGGAAGAGATCACCAACCCACAAATCACTAGGTTTGCTAAGTACTGTTCTCTAGAGCCTCCTGAGGATAGTGTTAGATTTGACACTCTCAAGGGAACAGATTCCAGCTGTCTGATCCTTGAAATCAGATAAAACAATAATTTCGCCTTATATTTTTCTGATAAAAACTGATGTTTAAGAAAGAAAATCTACCTCTAAAAAGGGGACTGAGATAACTTTTGTTTCATTAGTATTAATTTTTTACTACAGGAATGTGTATATATATATATGTGTGTGTGTGTGTGTGTGTAATATATGTACATATATAGTATATCTATGTATATATGATACATTTAACATATACTTTAAAATAAACATAATTATGTATTTAATATATAAACATACAAATAATAATAAATGTCTTTAAAAATTATAACCTAAATAAATGATTATTATCTTTTAGCAGGGGAAGACCTCCAACTATAATCTATCCACACAACTATAATCTATCCTGTAAACAACTGGGCTTCTTGAGAAACCCCCATGAAGGGAAACTGAAGTTTTTCACATAACATGATACAGGCACAATCGGAGGCATGCAGTGAACGTTCATAATGGCCAGCCCTACCATTTCAAAAGCATCACTTCCATTTGAAGAAAACGATGCTAAGGGTCAGAGAAGTTTTATCTTGACTGAGATTCCACATACGTTAAGTGCATATGTTGGGATTTGAGCCTAGGTCTGAGTGGTTTATAGCCCATGGCCTATCCAATCCGTTTTCACTATTAACATGTTTCTACCAGTTGCATTTGGAAAACAGGAGACTCTGAATCCTGAATAACGTAAAAAAGAAAATTTATTTAGGTGTTACCCTTAAATGGCTTCTTCAAAAATTCACCCGTTATCTCCCCAATCAGATGTGAGCTTTACCTCTTTTGAAACCAAAACTATTACTTTATTTCAAATTTATGGAAATCCTTCACCCTCATATTACTTGTTTCAGGTACTAACCCTGTAAGAGAGGCACTGAAGATAGAATGCTGCTATCACTCCAACACCATTAGACAGATGAAAGGCCAGTGACTTAGCCAAGATCACACAGAGAAAGGGCTCACCCATGTACTAATTCTGTGGTCTGAACTGCAACCCTACGCCCCTGGTTTCAAGAACTGTGCTACTTTCAACTTATTGAAATGGAAAGGAAGATAGAATGTGTTACATTTCTCTTAATCATTTTTATGTGACTCTTATGGGCTAATGAAACAGCAAGATTCTATTGTGCATTTACACTGTGCCCAGAATTGAGCAAGGAAATTAGATGACAAAGAACCATGAACCAAAGCCTCTGCCCTCAAGGGCTTAACAACTGAGTGAGGAGGCATAACTGAAAACACTTGCATTATTTGGGCAGCAAGTGGCCTGTTGCACTCTTAAATGTCCGTGAAGCCAACCAGCTTTCCCATGTCTCTGTGTTTCCAAAGGCGTGGCCCAGTATCTGGTGTTCAGCAGGCCAGAGCTCCTGCACACAGCTGTGCTCAAGCTATACACCTGCTGGAAACCTGTAAAACCATGGACATCTGGCCAAACCAAAGCCCTGAGCAACTCCCTCTCTTCTATTTTCACAACCACTGACTTTCCACTTTATTCTTCCATTCCATTAGTTGGATTTGGACTTGACCCATATTACTACAAAAATAGCATTTGTCAAGTCATGACTGCAGGCCAGGCATTGTGCTAGATATTTTACGCTTGCTCTCTCAAATCCCGTAACACTTACGGATGGGAAAGAGAATTGTGGTCCCTCTTTTACTAACAAGGAAATGAAGGCTGAAGGCAAAGTTAAGGAAATTGCCTGAGGACACGGCCTACAATCTGAGCCTGAAAGTTAGCAGTGAAGTGCAGAAAACCTCAAATAAGAAGGACTGGTTTAGTATGCTCATGGTCAAAAACAAAAAAATTTCATAAAACCATCTTGCTTTCCTCAACATGCCAGTGATCTGACATAAATCTAAAGATGGATCTCAAATTAGAACATACTTTGAGACACATGGGCCCAGAAAAACATACAATAGGAAACTAAGCATTTTTTGTTTATGTTACTAGAGGAAGATTTTAAAAATCTCTTCAGTAGCTTTCAACTACTCAGTTTTAGCAAAATAACTTCCATTACATGCATTTACCATGTGCTGGACTCTACATGTAAAACTTCACTGACATATAACTGCTCACTTTGCAGGAGTTTTTGATGTATATATACATATATTAATATTTTATAGATATAAATATACAGATGTGCATGCACATTTAATATGCAGGCCAACTGAATTGAGCTTAACCTTGAAATGATAGAAATAGTGTTTGAACCCAACTTTCTTGACTCCAAACACTGTGGAGGTTCCATCCACTAAATCATTGCTTCTCAACTTTGGTAGCACATTGGAATCACGTGGGAGTTGATAAATTTCTGATTCCTGGGTCTCACACCCAGAGATTCTCACATGATTGCCTGGGGTGTGCTCCAGCTGAGAATTTTTAAAAGCTCCCCAGCTGATTCTAGTACACTCCAATGTTGAGAACCACAGGTTCACACCATAACTCCACTTATTAGTCTCTTACTGCTGCCATGACAAATTACCACACACTTACTGGCACAAAACAACGCACAGTGATTTTCTTAGTTTCTGTATTCAGAAGTTCCAAATGGGTCTCATTGAGCTAAAATCAAGGTGTCACAGGGCTATGTCCCTTTCTGGGGTTCTGGAGGAAGAATCCACTTCTTACCCTTTTCAGCTTTGAGAGGCTGCTGCATTGCTTGGTGTGTTAGTCAATTCTGCTATAAAGAACTACCTGAGACTGAGTAATTTCTGAAGGAAAGAGGTTTAATTGACTCACAGTTCTGCAGGCTGTACAGGAAGCATGGCTGGGAGGCCTCAGGAAACTTAAAATCATGGCGGGAAGGCAAAGGGGAAGCAAGCACGTCTTACCATGGCAGAGCAGGAGAGAGAGAACGAAGCGGAAATTGCTACACACTTTTAAACAACCAGATCTTGTAAGAACTCCATCACGAGAAAAACAAGGGGTAAGTCTGCCCCCATGATTCAATCACTTCCCACCAGACCCGCTCCTTCAACATGTGGGGACTACAGTTCAACATGAGATTTACGTAGAGACACAGAGCCATATCCCTTGGCTTGTGACGCTCTACCTCTATCTTCAAAGCCAACAACAGCAGGTGGACTTCCTCTCACATAGCATCACTCTGACCTCTTCTCCTACCTTCCTTTCTACATTTAAGGACCCTCATGATTCTACTGGGCCCACCCAGGTTATCCAGGATAATGTCCCTCTTTTAAGGTCAGATGATAAGCAACTTGAATTATATCTGCTACCTAATTCCCTTTTGCCATGTAAGGTAACATATTCACAGGTTCCAGGGATTAGGACATGAACATCTTCAGGGGCCATAATTGTGCCTACCACAGTTGCAATTTTAAATAAAAAAAAATCAGAATTTCCCTTCTATTGCACCTGCTCACTGTGGGTGAAGACAGCAAGCGGTGTGTCCTTTTACAGGAGAGTCAAGTCGTAGCTACTGGGTATATGAAAACATCTCCCTTCTGTTCCTCTCGTGCTCCTTTCCCACTAGTAAGAAGAGCAGTGAGAGCCTGTCATTCTCTGGGCTTCCCACAGCTGCTGTCACACCACTTGAAAATACAGCCCAGGTGACCAGCGTTCCCAATCCATCCCGAGACAAGGCAATATGTGAGCTGCCATATGCTCTGGTGGGTTCTGGCTGACACTGAGCAGGTGTATGGCATCCGGGCCAAGCATCTGGAGGGCGGCAGACTCACAGAGGGGAGGTACCGTTTTCAATTTACCGAAGGAAGACCTAGGAAATAACAGAGGGCCGGGTGTATTTGTGTCTCTCTTTCTCTAGCTCTCTCTCTCTTTCCAATCATTTCTTAAGAAATAGAGGCTGGTTCTGGTTTTCATTCTGAAAATCCAGGGAAACACTTTGAATATATTGCTGGTGCTGATTTAAAAATTATTCTCTGAGTTCTCCAACATTCAGAATCCATCAATTATCAAGATGCAGAAGCTTCCAAATATTTATAATGACAGCACTATCATTATGCTAAGCTATTATGACAGGAAGGGGAGGAGAGTAGTTTAACCTCCATCAAGGTGTATGTGTCTGGGTGTGTTTGTTTTCTGTACATTAATTTAGGATTCCCATAACAAGTTTGTAATGTACAGTTACGTCTAAATGACAATTTCTTACTCGTGGAGATTATTATGCTTACAAACCTGAGCATTTTTATTTCTAAACATCTACAAATGACTTTTAAAATTATATATATCACATATGATGCCTGGTCAGGGGAAGAGAGGAAAAGGAAAAGTTAAATGAATGATACCCTGTGCACAACCAGAGTTAACTGACACTGGCTCCGAAGAATTCATCTTAATCAATGTTATTGCCTCAGTTCCCATAAAAATGAGTGATTGGGACACATAAAATACACTATCAACTTTTACCAAAACTAAGCAGTTTAGACCATTTATTTCCATAAAACAGCACTGTGCATCATATGTCAACCCAATGCATTTTCTGTGTGACTGACTTCGAAGACTG
This sequence comes from Homo sapiens, assembly GCF_000001405.40. Taxonomy (NCBI): domain Eukaryota; kingdom Metazoa; phylum Chordata; class Mammalia; order Primates; family Hominidae; genus Homo; species Homo sapiens. The sequence goes on along the minus strand of NC_000009.12, from coordinate 106,414,368 downwards.
TGTGGGTTGACAATCTAAGTTCTAATTATTTGCACCCTCCTGTCTGTTCTTGCACAACACGGGGCTCTCCCAGAGGAGTGTCAGAAAGGACATTACATGGGCTGACGGGAAGCAGCTGAAAAAGATCCACTGGGCTTTTTCATGCAGATGATGCACGGAGCAGAGAGGAACCAAAGGGGATCGAAGAACCCTGATTGGAAAGTTCGAGTGTGTTCCATCTGTTACTGCTCTAGTCTTTTCATTAATGCTGTGTAAAGGCAAGCAGAGTCACAGCTGGTGAAAACATAGCGGCCTGACAGGCCCAAAGCCTGCATCTCCTTTCCCCTGGCAGGACCAGATATTTGTAGGGACCTGCAACTGTCCCCCTTAATTTCAGGTCAAAAGGTAGTTAAGCTCTCTTGTGTGGCAGGGGAATAAGCTTAACCTTGGTTGATCCAATGGCCTTTGGTTTCTATCACAGCCCTTCCACTTTTTCACAGTGGGTCCACCAGAGCATTAGCTACACTAAAGGTCAGCATCATCATCTGTAAAAAATGGAAATGTAATAATGTTAAATTCCAGTGCTATAGTGAGGCATACCTATGAGACTTCAGTAAATACTGCTTGTTCTTTTTTCTTTCACATTCTCTCTGCTTCATATGGATAAAGCAGTAAAAATTAAAAAAAAATTTAATGAAGCAGCCAGTTTTATACTTCTGATGATTTAAAAAATGAAACATGCAAATAAGAGTTGGACTAGAGCCTTCCAATGGATTCAATCTTTAATCTACGTGTCTCTTCATGGTTTAGAGAGCACCGATCTAGAGGCAGACTGTCCGGATTGGAATTCTAGTTCTAGCACTTACTAGCTGTCTAATCGTGAACAAGTAATTGAAACCTCAGTTTCACGATCTCTAACATGAAGATAATTGTACCCACTTCATAGGGTTGTCATGAGGATCAGGCAAGTTAATATATGCAAAGCATTTAGAATAGTGCTTGCCACATAGTGTTTGTTTGTTCAAATATTTTAGTGTTATTGTCCTCACCTTTGCTCCTCATGTGGGCAGTTCATTCATTCCCATTGAAAGGCGACTGTTAGGAGCAAGAAGATAAAAGAAGAATCTCTTCCTGGCTTTTGGGTTTCTAATGCCTTCTTCTTGGGGAAATAGAAATAATTCAGGATGAGTACAATTATGAATCTGAACAAGACTTCCTGTCTCTGAGACTAGAACAGAGTTTCTGCAGCTGGGAATAAGGACATTTGGAGGTACAGGTAGGTATAATATATCGGCAGTCGCCTAAAATATGTCCCGCTGGCTGACTTCACTGACCCTGTGTGGGGCTGAAGCCCAGTCGGGAAAAGGATGATATGGACCCCTAGGTGTGTTTGTGAAATGCAGGAGCAGAGGAGACTTGTGCTTCCTTTATAAGCAAGAGTCCCTGGGAGGACCAACCCCCCCCTAAAATAATGACTGTGCTGTGCATTCAGGAAGATAGGGCTTGGAGAGCCTGACAGAAATTTTCCATACCACAGCCTCATGTGGGCAGAATGATTCACTTGCACCCAAGAGGGAGACACAATTATCAGCTGGAAAAGTCAGAAGTGAAGAAGGCTTAAGTACTGAAAAAAGGGATAACTTTGGTGATCCCTGTGCACTAAAGATCATGGATCATATGGCATGATGGATGTTTCAACAGATGTCAGCATGGACAGATGACACTGAAGACCAGATGCCTCCTAATCCCAGAGGAGAGCAACATGGCAACTCCCCTGAACTTGGATGCACCTCAGGAAAAGGGTGGTAATCCTCAACGGACTGAGATTAAGTTTCTGCATATCTCTACTATTGGGGAAATGGAGCTTTTAAATATAAACTAGGTTCAATTTCAGAAAAGTTTTGAAAAACTGCTTTCCCTTACACGTCGGAGTTTATAGACCAAGACTCATACCCATTACATGTAAAAGGATTTGTGAAAATATATTTAAATAACTGGATAAACTTAAAAATATTTAAGAACTATGCACATGTAGAATTTAGTAATCCCACAGATTGGAACACATTTTTAAATACCATATTATGTAATAGTTCAAATACATAGTACAAAGAAATAGAATGAATCCCCACAAACCCATCTCCCATCATCAATAATTATCAATTCAGGCCCAATCTTGCTTTGTCAATCCTCCCCAGTAACTCCAATCTCCAAATGTCTCGATTATTTTGAACCATCCCAGACATCTTATTGTTTCATTAGTTCAGTAAGTACCCCTAAAAATAAGAATTTTTGAAAGAACATAACCATAATACTGTCATTAATTCCCATAAACATTTATATTAATCCCCATAAATATTTGACACTGCCTGGATATTTAGTATCATCAAATATCCAGGCAGTGTCAAATATTTAATATTGTCAAATATCCAGGCAGTGTCAACTATTCCTAATTTTTAATAAATTTGTTTTTATTATATTTTTTAACTTTTTTTTCAAATCAGGATCCATTTTTATAGTTTCTTAGGTCTATTTTAATCTAAAGCTTCTCCCTCTTTTTTTTTTTTTAATCAAATAGTTGAAGAAATCAAGTCACTGGGGCTGTCCCATAGCATTTTTTTTACATTCTGGATTTTGTTGATTGTGACCCTATGGTAATATTTAATATGTCCTTCTGCACCTGTATATCTCATAATCTAATAATTATACCCAGAACTGGATCTGACTTAGGTCAATGTTTTAGTTTAAAAAACCTTCACAGATGGTGTTTCGTAATTCCAACAAGAGACCATAGTGTCCACTTTTCTCTCTTTTTGTGATGTTAGGAGTTATTAATTATCATTACCTAGATCCACCGTTTTATTAGGGGCTTGAAAAATGGTGATCTTCTAATTCTTTTCGCCTTCATGTGTTACTTGGGATACTTTTATAAAAATAAGCTTTCCTTCATCAAATATTTGGTTAACCTGAGATTGTATAGAAAAGCAGGTGGAATTCTTGATTCTCTATTTACCAGTGTATTAGTTTATTTTCATGCAACTGACAAAGACATACCCAAGACTAGGCCATTTACAAAAGAAAGAGATTTAATTGGACTTACAGTTCCACATGGCTGGGGAGGCCTCATAATTATGGCAGAAGGCAAAGAGGAGCAAGTCACATCTTACGATCTTACGTGGATGGCAGCAGGTGAAAAAAAGCTTGTGCAAGGAAACTCCACCTTATACAGCCATCAGATCTCATAAGACTTATTCACTATCACGGGAACAGGGCAAGAAAGACCTTTCCCCATAATTCAATCACCTATGACCGGTCCCTCCCACAAAATGTGGGAATTCAAGATGAGATTTGGGTGGGGACACAGCAAAACCATATCAACCTGTTTTCAGAAAAATGAAAAGTTGTTTTTTAGCATACTCCAAAAGTTACCAATGACTTTTTTTCTCTTTAAACATCATTGTAGTGTCACTGATTTTTCACTTTTGATGTATTTCTATTTTTACATGTATTATTCCTATAGATGCTCAAATTGCTTCATCTTGGTCCAGTGGTAATCACTTTACATTGACCTCTTAGTCTTTCATGGCCCCAATAGTTTCTGAGAGCTTCTTTACTTCCTGGTATGATAAAGTGTTGCCAGCACATTTTGTACATTTCTTGTCATAGAGCTGAAATCAGTTATTTCTCCAAGCAGCCCTGGCTCCTCTAGGAAGAAAAGATATTTAGAGAACATAATTTGGGTACTGATAGTGTCTCTTGCTACTAGATTGGTTATTATTTTTGTCTTTTCAGTGTACAAAGCTATATGTCATGAATACAACTGATATTTCCAGTTCAAATGGCAACTTACAGAGGCTTTATTTAACTTCTTTGATTTTATAATTATATCTCTTTTTGTCCTATGCTAAAAGTCTTAGGTCCTAATGACAGTAATTAAAGTACTATTGCTTTATTGTATTATAGTGCATTAAATATATATCATAAATTATATGCATAATACTTTTAGAATAACAATGTCAACATTATTGGTCACAATATCATCCTAAAAAATAGTTCAAGATTTTCTTTTTGCAGCCTTTTTTTCTTTTTTTTTTTTTGTCCTTAGGATACTTCCTGCTAAAGATGTACACAGACAGGTTAACTCTGGTTTTTTTTTTTTTTTTTTTTTTGAGACGGAGTCTCGCTCTGTCTCCCAGGCTGGAGTGGCGCGATCTCGGCTCACTGCAAGCTCTGCCTCCCGGGTTTCTCCTGCCTCAACTGGGACTACAGGCGCCCGCCACCACGCCCCGCTAATTTTTTTTTGTATTTTATAGTAGAGACGGAGTTTCACCGTGTTAGCCAGGACGGTCTCGATCTCCTGACCTCGTGATCCGCCCGCCTCGGCCTCCCAAAGTGCTGGGATTACAGGCATGAGCCACCGCTCCCGGCCAACTCTGTTTTAAAATCACTTGAAAATATTCCTTTCTTTAGGTTTTATCAACAAATCGATACCAAGTAAGTTTTTAAAAAATTGTCCTTCTGTTTTTGGGAAATGTATTTTTCATTTTAAAATTTTACTTTGTTTTATAATTGTGGAAACAAAGTTTATTTCCAAAATTCTAGCTTCTGTGCCCATCCTTTTTACCTTATTAGCTCTCCTTCTGTGTTTCACTTTCCAGTCTCATCTTCATCAGGTTGATATGAGGATGAATTGTGTGCACAGAAAGCAAACAGTCTATTTCTTAAATATTCAGTAAATGGTAGCTATCATTATGGGCAAGGCATATGATAGTTATTGTCTTTGAAGTTTCCAAACTTGAGTACTCTCTTCCATATTCCCTTGAGTGGTAATTTTTAGCTTTGATTGATCACTTGTTTGTACATCTGAGTAATCCAAAACTGCATCTTCAGAAACATTAAGCTTCTACTTCAGTGCAAATGTGTTATGGCATTCTTCTGGTCACATATAAATAAAGTTGGCAGGAAAACTGCAAAGGTGAAGAAGTCCAGCCTTTCATGTCAGAAAACCCTGGATTCAAATCTCAGATTTGGTATTTAGTAGCGTTTTGTAGGTTCAATCACTTGGCCTATCTGAGCTTTAATTCTTCACATGTATAATGGTAAAAATGATATCTGCTATTATTATTGCAAGAATTAGATGATCTGATGCCTGGAAAGCAACCCACATAGTACCTGGAACATAACTGGTGTTTTTAAAAAGCTTCTTTCACCTTTTTAGCTTAATCTATAGAAACCTTTTTTTTTTAGCTTAATCTATACTAATCATCTCAGCTGTAACTGAGAGCAGATAGGTCTGCCTTTGATTTACCAAATGCCTGCTTTGTTTGCTTCTTCCAGAGAATGTATTCCTGTACCAACTTCCATTCATTTTTGTGCTGCTGTACGCCTCCACATCTATTCTCCATTTTTCTGCACCATGCTCTGTGCCCTTAGACACTGACCTCTATGGAATGTATACTATCAAAGGGCTCCCATATCCTCTACTTTCTGTTCAGTTTGGTCAATGAGATTGCCAGCAGGAGACTGGAGAGTTCATCAGGGAAAGTATTCCTCTAGCTCCCTTCCTGTAGGGGTGCTACTCCTTGACTAGCTCCTCTCCTCTCTGGAAGTCCTGCACTGGCCCTTGTTGATTTCCCTAACTCTACCCACTCCTTTGTAAGTAGCCCCTTTATTAAACTCACTTCAATTTCCCAGTTTGAGTGGTGCCATCTGTTTACTGCTGGGACCCTGACTGGAAATTGATACAATTTCCAATCAAGAAAATAATTATGGGATTGTTAGTCTAATGGGCACATTTTGCCTCAATTCCTTCAGTTTTTCTAAAATCTTAAACTTTCTTTAAATAACTGGAAAACAAAATACCTGGACCACAGTAAATTATCCCCAAACAGCAAGTCACTCAATGAGTTTCGCTTTAACCTCTATACCCTCAGCTTTTAACTAAGGGTCAACACAGGAAAGGTTATATACTATCTCCATTCCTGTATCTTCAATAAATGCACTGTTAAAAACAGCATCCATTATCATAGCCAATGTCCCTGACGTGATAACATGGAAAGAGCACAAGATTTGGAGTGAAAAGGTGCGGGCTGGGGCTCCTGCTGTGTAATTTATTAATCACAAAATCGTATTTCTCTTAACTTCAATCTATCCTTCTGTAAAATAAGGCAAATATAGATTTGTGAGTAGTAATGGGGAAAAGAGAGTTTTTAAACCAAAGAGCTTTATAAATATTCATGCATAGTATGACTATATTAAATTTCTTTAAAAATTTAGCACAGGTAAAAGGTGGATTTTTTTTATTTCTTAATTTTATTATTATTATACTTTAAGTTTTAGGGTACATGTGCAAAATGTGCAGGTTAGTTACATATGTATACATGTGCCATGCTGGTGTGCTGCACCCATTAACTTGTCATTTAGCATTAGGTATATCTCCTAAAGCTATCCCTCCCCCCTCCCCCCACCCCACAACAGTCCCCAGAGTGTGATGTTCCCCTTCCTGTGTCCATGTGTTCTCATTGTTCAATTCCCACCTATGAGTGAGAATATGCGGTGTTTGGTTTTTTGTCCTTGCGATAGTTTACTGAGAATGATGATTTCCAATTTCATCCATGTCCCTACAAAGGACATGAACTCATCATTTTTTATGGCTGCATAGTATTCCATGGTGTATATGTGCCACATTTTCTTAATCCAGTCTATCATTGTTGGACATTTGGGTTGGTTCCAAGTCTTTGCTATTGTGAATAGTGCCGCAGTAAACATACATGTGCATGTGTCTTTATAGCAGCATGATTTATAGTTTTTTTTTGCTTGTTTTGCTAAAGAATTGCTGCGCTTTGTTTATCCTGTTGAAAAGGAGAATATGACTCACTGTGATTTTGTATATATTTCTGGTTTAATTTATAAGAAATGCATGATTAACTGTAATGTTTTATTATATGTTACTAGTATTTTCATACATTTTTTACTTTCTTCTATTTGATTTTCATTTATTCATATTTTGATAAAATTGTGGTACATGTATGTTTTATTTTAAGGCATGTAAGATTATTTTTTGGAAGAAGACGGAATCTAAACAAACAAGGCAACACATATTTAACACAAAGGAGAATTTGTTCATAATCTTACTTCCTTCTATTTGCAGACTCATTTGCCTTTCTGCAACATTCCTTCTTAATTCTATACTCAAGTAATGTTCAGAGTGACAGTTCAACCTCCTATGTTCATGATGCATTATTTGGAAATCAACAAGATTCACATTTACCTACCTATTAAAAATAGAGAAAAGATGTTTTATATATGTAAAACATATATAAAGATCTGTAAGGTATATACCTATAAGATCTGTAAGGTATATACCTATATCTAGATTTACATCTAGATATAAATAGAAATATAAATACCTTACAGTTTATTAACACCAGAATAAGAGGAAAAAGAAGAGAAAGAGAAGAAAGAAGAGAAGGAGAAGGAGGAGGAGGAGGAGAAGATATGTGGGAAGAAGGAAATTGCCATCTTCCTGGGAGCTCAAGAGAGCATTTTAACCTTTTCTCAATGTTATTTCCCAGGAAAAGGTAGAGAATTATTACCATCAGTACACACATTTCTTCCCATCAACATTCTTTTATTGGTTATTGTCTACCATGTGACTCTGTTCATAATTATTCTGTTCTTATTCTACAGAGAGAAGAGCTCAATTCAGATCTCTCTCGGCCAATCACCACTACTTTCAGGAGGCCACAGCCTTTCTCCAACCCGAATCCATGTCTGTGAAACTCCATCCCTTAATTTGCAAAGCAACAGGACAGGTGCTGGAAAACAAGCCTTATCTCTTAGAATAAAGTGCAATTACTGACCTATAGAACTATCACTTTGTTGTAGGCAAAAGAAAGATATTAAGTAAAGAAAAAGTGTAAATGTGTCTACTGTCAAAAAGAAATATACAACTATCTGAGATAGTTGTGCCTTCAAGTGGAGATGGAAGATTTTTACGTATACTCCCCAGGCTAAACAAAGATCTTATTTGTGCATGGTCAAGTATGATTTACCAAGGAAGGGGGCTCACTGTCCTATCTGAAACATCCTTTTAAAAGACACCTGCAGTACTATTATGCTACAAAATGCACCAGGTCATTAGGGGCTCTGTCAATCAAGTGACTGATTCCTCCAGATATGGCTGGTGAATAAAGAAGGCACTTTTCAGTTTCAGACTGAAAGTCACACTCCACCTGCTCCAAACCCTGGGGTTTTGAGAATATGAAAAGTTAACCTAATCTACTTCCATGCTAACAGAAACATTTGGTTCTCAAAGCCAGACTTAGGAATTCTTTTGTCCAAGCAGAAGTCAATTCTCAGGAATGTCTGAAAACTCTTCTGGATTCCTTTATCATTTAATCATAGGTTGGCTTAGAAAATATTGGTAGAGAAATATAGTAGCTAGTGCCATATTTAAAAATTAGTAAATAAAACTCTTACCTTTCTGAACAACTACAACTAAACGACCAAACCCTGAAAACTTTCTGATTACTTGCTCATCTTTTTAGTTTTTTCCTCCTAACATGTATTATTCGAAGTTTCACAGACAGCAAAGTCGAAAAATTCTACCATGAACACCAGAATACTAATCATCTAGATTCTATCATTAACCTTTACTAGACTTGTTTTTTATCACATTATCTATTTACTTATCCTTATATACATCCATCATTTTGCCTTATTTTTAAGGCATTTAGAAGCAAATTGCAGACATCTGACTGTTTCCCTCCAAATACTACACCATGCCCATCATTAACTGGAGTTTAATATTTGTTTGATAGTTACTTTCTTTGGATCTAAAATTTACATACACTGAAATGCACAAATCTTAACTCTACTTTTGATGAGTTTTGAGAATCCATATATCTGTTGTAACCCAAGCCCCTATGAGGATATAGAACATAATCATCCAGAAAGTTCTCTTTCCTCGCTTTTAGTCAATTGCTACCCATGCTACTTTCTAGGTAGTTACTCTCGTTCTAATTTTTTTTCTGTATACGTTAGATTTGCCTGTTCTAGAATATTATATAAATGGAATTATGCAACATGCATACTTTGTATAAGGCATCTCTCAGTTAGCAGAGTGTTCTGGAAATTCATCCAATTGATGCATGTACATATCAGTAACCTTTTCCATATTATTGTTTAGTAGTATGCCATTATATGACTATATCAATTTGTTTATCCATTTTCATATTGATTAGTATCTGGGGTCTCCAGTTTGTGCTATTATGACTAAAACTTCTATAAACATTTTTGTACAAGTTACTTTGTCTTAGGTAAATAACTAAGGTTGGAATTGCTGGGTCTTTGAGTACTTGGACATTTCATTTTATAAGAAACTTATAAGACCATTTTATACTCCCACAAGCATTGTATGAGGGTTCCTCTTGTTCCGTATATTCTCTAATAATTGTTATTATCAGTCATTGTAATTGAAACCATTCTCATGTGAATGGAGTGGTATCTCATTGTGGTTTCAATTTGTATTTCCCAGTTGACTAATGATGTTGATCAATTGTTCAAGTACTTCTTTTGTGAAATGTATAGTAAATTATTTTTCCCATTTTTTATTGGGTACTTTATGTTTTTATTATTGAATTGTAGGAATTCTTTGTTTTGGATATCTTTTGTCAGTTTTTTGCTTTGCAAACATTTTCCTTAACAATTTACTTTCCTAATATCTTTTGTTCAATGTGGAATACACATAAGAGTAGATATCATTGAATTATTCCTGATCTTAGGGAATGCATCTTGTATTAAATGTAAAGTTGGCTGTAGGCTTTCTAATGTGACCGTTATTACACTGAGGAAATTCCTTTTATTCCTAATTCAAGGCAAGATTTTTTCTTTAATCATAAGTGGATAATACATTTTGACTGCTTCTTAAAATAATTATGGAAAAGATAACTTTCTCTTTTATTCTGTAAATATAGTAAATTATATTCTTCATTGCCAAATGATAAAACTAGTCTTTCATTTTTGAGATAAACTTTACTTGATTGTGGTATATTTTTTAAGATATATACATGATTAGATTTCCTAATTTTTTAAAAGTATTTTTGGCTTAATTCCTATGAGGAATAGTTAATGGTAATTTACTTTTTCTGTAATATTTGTCAGATATTGGCCTTAGGGCTATACTCACCACATAAGACTAATGGGAAATATTTTCTTCTTTATTTTAATATAAGGTTACTTTTTAAAGTTTGATACAATTCACAAGCACAAACATCTGGGCCTAGAATCTATTTTATGGGAAGGATATTGATAATAGCTTAATTTTTTTTTTAACAAAATTGGGGATATTCAGATTCAGTGTCATTTACTGTCAGTTTTGGTAAGTTTAATTTTTTCAAGAAAACAATCCATTTCATCTAAGTTTTAAAATCTTTTGGCATAAAATTGTTCACATATTCTCTTATTATTTTTTAATGACTATCAGATATGTTTTGCTATTCTCTTATATTACTGATGTTAGTAATTTGTGTCCTTTCTCTTTTTTTTCCTGATCAATCTAGCTACGAGGTTATCAATTTTGACGCTCCTTTAAATAATCGATTTTTCTCTTTATTAATTTATTCCTCTTTCACTAATTTTCATCCTCTTTCTAATTTCTTGGAATATTTATTATTTCTGTAGAGATCACTAATTTAAACTTTCCTTCTTTTCTAATGTTAGCGTCTTTTAAAGTTATACATTTCCATCTAAGTATTGCTTTAACTGCATTTCACAAATTTCATGTTGTATTTTCAATATTATATTTAGTTCAAACTATTTTCAAATTGCCCGTGATTTCTTCCTTAATTCATGGACTATTAAACGCTGTGTTGTGAATTTTTTAATATCTAAAATTTTCCTGGTGTGAATGCTTTATAATGTGTCAACTTGGTTTGGCTCAACTGCATTTCCCAGAATTTCCTTTTTTGTACATTCCTGGTTATGGCGTGCTACAAGGGAGATTCTTAGGGGTAATTAGGAGGCTATAAGGAAAGCAACAGCTATTTTGTAGCTCACACAGGCTGTTACTAATCCACTGATTGACTTCATTGGTATGAAGCAGTAGCTGGACCTGCAATTGTTCTATTATCTCCTGGATCTTCCTTCAGCTTCTCTGACTCATGGGTCAGGTTTGTGTGTTTAGTTCAGTGATAAACAATCCTGGCTTCTATAATATTCTTTCATCACTATGACAGAGGCAGCAAGAATGGTCATAGGTTCTAGTCCATCTTTGTGGGGTTCCAGCTTATGCTTGTCTGTTTCAGCCTGTTTGTGATTCTCCCTTCCTGGCTGCCTGATCTTATGGACCTGAAGTTCCACCATTGGTTACAGAGATAATAACCTTACTGTGACCACTTAGCCAACTCTCACTATTATATTAGCCAATTCCCTATAACAAATATGATTGTGTGTGTATGTAATAATAGGTTTGTGTGTAGGTACATGTGTATGTTATATATATAATTTCTTATTGCTTGAACTGCAATTGATAACATCTGTTCTTAATAATTTTTAATTCAATTCCATTGTTATTAGATAATATATGGTATTCATGCTTTTACATTTGTTGAGGAATTTTCTGGCTCCGAATTTGGTCCACTTTTGTGAATGTACCATGAAGCATTGAAAAGACCATGTATTCACCAGGTGTTCAGTGTTGTGTCTTATAAACATCAACTATGTTAAGGGATTTGATTATATTGTACAGATCATTGATATCTTTACTGATTTTTTTGTTTGTCTAGTTGTTCTATTAGTTTCTCACAGTAAAGTGTTAAAATCTTTATTGCAGAATTATTTGTCCATATACATATGTTAATTTTTGCTTTATATATTTTGAAAATTTGTTTTTAAATACAAACACATAGATTATCCTTACATCTTCTAGCTATTTATTAGTTAATATATGTGACCAATAAAAAAATTTAAAATGACAGGCTCCATATGATCCCACAGAAACATCCTTCTGCTAGTGCTGCTT